>NC_000010.11:51658246-51809761 GCF_000001405.40 Homo sapiens | reverse complement strand
AGCATATCTGTCTTACCAAGTGGATAAAGAAAATATTTTCTGAGGGTGAACAGGATCTACTGTGTAGCTTAAATTCCAAAAAGCCCCTGCCATCTCTCTGATTTGTCAGTGAAACAAGTAATATAAATCAGGGTCCACCACTATCATTGTCCTCATCAGCTTCATAATTTGGGAACAAAAGAAAACCTAGTTTCTACAAGTAAACCCCAATGGTCACACAGCTACATACTAATGCTCCTCTGGGTATAGATACCAGTTTTAATAGCAGTAACAGAGAATATGCTCAGAAGAAAGTAACACAAATTAACTCTGGCAGTTATTTGGCTCATTTTTCAGAATCTGTCTTAAAAACAACAGTATTTTTTAGTAGCCAAAGATGACAGAAAATGCTGGCAACTGGCAAAATCATCGTTTGACTTATAGCAATTATGCCATGCTTAGTAGCACTGCCCTTTGAATACCTTTTTTTTTTTCTATGATCTGGATAGAAACATCTGTGTTTACATCAGGGAATCTGAAATACAGGCACAAAAGAGAAATGACTAAATAGGATTAAAGAGACAGAATCACAGTTTGATGTGGCATCTAATAGCAAAGAGGGGGCCAAACCACATGACTGGGAGTTACAAAATGGGTAAATACAATGGAATAAAAATAAAACCCAACTTTGACAATAAAGAAAAACTCTTGCCTGTTAGCAGTGCATTTATATGCCTGGTGTGTCCACTTTTCTCCTCCTCCAAACTTACGTGTTTATTCAGAAAAATGAGAAGAAACAGTGGCACCATAAGATAAGAAATTATAGAGAGCCACTCATTTTTTAGCCTGTGGCAGCTCCTGAAATTCCTCGGTTGGGAAGGCATTGGGATGTACAACAGAGACCCCTACCGAAAAGAACTCTGATAATTTGCATGATCCTTTGCTAGAGTTTTCATTTTTTTAATAGCATTGCCATTGCTTTACCCCTTCAAGTCATTTACAAAGTATAAAGTATAAGATATCTATAACAGAAAAATGTAGATGCAAGTTTTATTTAGCAAACACATAGAGAAAAACATCCCCCTCTTCACAGACTGCTTTAAAGCACTTAAAGTCAATATTTTTATAATATTAAGTAAGCCTTCCTATATATGCAGTGGTGTTTCTGTTTTTGTTTTTTGAGACAGGGTCTCTCTCTGTTGCCCAGACTGGAGGGCAGTGGCAGGATTTCAGGTCACTGCAGCCTCAACCTACCAGGCCCAAGTGATCCTCCCCCGTCAGCCTCCTGAGTAGCTGGTACCACAGGCACATGCCACTGCACCTGGTAATTTTTCTATTTTTCTATTTTTTGCAGAGACAGGGTTGCACATGTTGACCAAGCTGGTTTCAAACTCCTGAGCTCAAACAATCCGCCCACTTTGGCATCTCAAAGTGCTGAGATTACAGGCCTGAGCCACTACACCCAGCCGAAGTCATAAAGAAAAAAGTGATAAAGTCATAAAGAAAAAAGTGATAAGTCACTTTTTGTAAGTCATAAAGAAAAAAGTGCTTGACTATACAAAAAAACTTTAAAGTTTTATATGATGTAAAAGAAAGACAGGCAATTTTTTAAAAAGCAACAACAAACAGGGAGATAAAAGTAATTCTGAAGTTACAGGAAAGCAATTAATTTTGTCTTCTGAGTTTTTGATAGTATCTATCATTGAGGCTATTATGCCATCTCTTAATAGCCTTGAAAAATAAATGGTACCAAGTATAGCTAACCTGGGGATGTGAAGAAGGAATTAATATTATTCACTCTTCTGGCTTTCGGAGCTCAGAAAAACACACCCTGAAGGGAAGGCCTCAGAACACCTTTCTTTCTGACCTTCTCCTGCCTCCTGTCTCTGGCTTCTCATTCTCCCCTGAGGCAAGCCATAGAAACTAGAATTCCTTTTCCCCAAAGCAAGTCATAGAGACAGACTCCTTTTTCCCCCCGAAAGCCATCCATAAAGCCTAAAAATATTATTTTAACCTTCCCCTGCTTTTCTGTTTGACAGCTGTCATGCAGAAATTAAGATTCTCATTCCAAAGGAGTCCTACCTCATACCTGGAAGGAAGAAATGCTACAACAGAGAGGCCAAGAAGAATCTCAACAGACAAGCCTTGCTGGTTTTCCTCACTTAGGCCACTATCATTAGAGCACTCTCTTTTCATTCAAGCACAATTCTATCACTGCCCATTCTCATTAAACCTAAGCATAAAAATGCAGTTTTCCCCTGTATTGTCAGGACTTCATTCAGAAAGGCTCCTGTGTCATCTTAATCTTTAATTAAATAAATCTGTAATGCTTTTCTCTTGTTAACCCGTCTTTTTATATAAGTGTGTCATCCATGACCCTTACAATGGAGAGGAAAGGGATGGTACCCTTTCCACCCCTACATGGCTTCATGGATGTGTGACTTGTACCGAAGAATAGGACCTGCACTTACAAGGTTCCTACATTTGATTTAATGCTGTGCTGTCAAGGTCTTTAATTTTTTATCAATTTTTGAAAGAGGTCCTGCATTTTCATTCTTCAATGAGTGCTGAAAATTATGTACTGGCTCTGTACTCACTGTTCTATAAAGTGCCTATCTACAAAGCAGTAAGTTTTGTGCCAAAGAAGCATACAAAGATATTTAAGAAATAACCCTAGTTCTAAACAGCTTATAGTCTAGAAGTAGAAATAAGCTTAAGGTCAAATTACAATAAACCAAAGCAGACAATAAAACACATGGCAGAGATGAAGCTCCAGAGGAGGAAAGACGTGACTTCTCAGTGTAATGAGGTAAGTATACATGGAAAGGCAGCTTTTAGTTGGGTCCAAAAAGCAGAGAAGAATTTGAACATTGACAGTGACGGAGGAGAGGGGCAGGCAGAGAGGGAATGTGCTGTGAAAAAGCACAGGGAAGGCATGGGTACATGGAATTGTTTGGTTTGCAGGAAGAGAGAAGAATCCAGGCTGAAAAACCTCACTGTTTTTGGCTATAGGAGGGCCTTGAATGTCCAACTAATGAGGCTGTAAATAATGCAACAGGAACTGTGCTCCACTGAAAAAGTTATAGAGAGAGAACCAGTTGGTCACAGTTGTAATTTAGGAAGATTAAAGCTGGCCTCAGGCAATGATGGTCATCCTGTCACCTCTCTGGACTCCCGGCCCAGTCCTATGTTCACAAACAATGTGAACTTGATGTTTTATGGAGTAGCCAGATGGAAAGTGACATCCAAGTCAGCAACCACCTCTTTTTTTATTCAGCCAGTTAAACTCTGCCAGCTCTATTCTGACCAACAAAAAATGTTCACTTACTTTGGAGAGCCAATTTTATTGTTTAAGATTTGAATTTGAAAACACACACACACATACACACGTGCGTATGCACAGATTGAGACATCTTCATCTCCTGAAATAGTGCTACCAGAAAGAGTTCTTGTTAGAGTCATTTGAGATAGCATTGGCACTCAGTCCATTTTCTTGGAAAAACAAACTTATGGAAGCTAAAATCAACATCGTAAGTGTCCAACGCTTAGGTATGTGAGATGAATAATGGACTGCATTCCATAGGTTACCATTTCATTGATTACCAGTTGTAATCTTTATCAGAGCTGCACTAGAAGAAATCAATAGCTCTTAAACTGTAAGTTAAGGCTTAAAGTGAATATTCATTCTCTCTGTCTCTATCTTTCATCATACACACACATACACACAACATACGTATAGACACATATATATCAACACATACATATATATATCTCACCCAATATAGAAGGCACCTGAATAATTTAATTCCCTTGAAAACCATATTAAATTTCAAATAGGAATTTACATTTCTACCTCTTCTAAGTGTTTCTTCATCCAATCACATTGAGGAAAAAAATCAACACCCTGCTGACAGTAATTAATGCTGATATTATTACTTGATATCACATTAGAATTGTATTACCCCTTTAGCATGAATATAAAAGGTCTTACATGGAAATAAAAATGTATAAAAGATGAAGCAGTAAGAAAATAAATTAACTACAAGAAATATCCAAGTAAGGAATATCAAAAATTGCATCTTAAGAAAATTCAGTAGTTACCTATTAAGATGTATCACTAAAGCAAAATGTGAATTTGACTTTTTAGCTTCATTTTAACAATTTATTCACCAAAAATAAAAAGCAAAATAAAAAAGTTAAACATTCTACCGATCAAAAATGAAACCTTAATTAGCAGTACACTCATTATATGCTCATATAACTTGTGTATTACTATTTCATAATGGCTCTGTTTTCAAAAGAAAAGTAATTTTAAAAATAAGTGCTTTTTAAAAAGTCATGAGAATTGTCAATATTCTTTTCAGTTATAAGATAATATATTTTCTTTAAAATAAAATAAACTTGCAGACAAAGAAATTCATTTCAGTGAGTATCAATGTATTCCTAAGAAATAAAAAGCTGGTTTTTATTCTAATTTCCATCCTATATTGAGTTATTATGATAATATATAATATAAACGAAAGAAAAGCTTTTGATATTTCAAACCTGTAGCATAAAATGAATTTTATTTGGGAAATTAAGCTCAGGATTAAAGGATAATAAGCTATTTCTTGGAACTTTTTCATCTTAGTCATCTGACCTTTCATATGGAAACTCACACAAGAGATGACTCGGCCTTACAGTGTGAGTCTGTTTAGAAGATGTGTCATAAATATATTAACCAATAAATAGTTGAAGATGTATTCAATATCCTTTTTTGTTCAAGCACACTTTTATTTGTTTCTCTGAGTTGCTCACTTCTATGAGAGAATGGCTTAATACATGTCATGAAACTCTGAAGTTCTGACTTAACCATACGTCATGGAAACTGGCACCAGAAATATAAAGAAGCTTGTTTGAAGTCTTACATCTCTACAGATTTATCACCAGAAATATAAAGAAGCATGTTCGAAGTCTTACATCTCTACACATTTGTAGACTATTATGACTGAGAGAAAGGCAAAAAGCACCCTGAAATTCAGGGTGCTGCATTTCAGATAATAGGGCTAAAAGGAAAGTAAACACTCTCACAAGAGAAAAGAAAGCATCCTACCTTTTTAAAAATTCCATATACTCGGTATGCTTGATGAGTCCTGTCCTCATCATTATTGTTTGAAAACATTGTCGATCAATGGCCCAGAGTTTTACATTTACAAGAGCTGGAGAAAAATAAAAGAGAAACAAACAGGGAAAAATTAATCAGAGAATTTCAACTGTGAACAACATCCTGCAAAGGAGATGAGCTATTCATGAGAATCATGAAAATGATTGACTTTTTACAAACATTTAAAGCTAATATCACAATGCTATCCTATTTCATTAAAAAAGTCCTATATGTTTACAGGCAAAATGTAGTTCATAATTTTCCATACTCGCATTATTATCTACTAGGAAGATTCCTGTTGCCCTTGCTCTATGACCCTTGGGGGTTGATTGTCTAAGCCCACATAGAAAGTATTTTGTAAATCAAGGCTATATATGAAGAAAATAGCGTGAAGAAAAAAGAGGTTCACAAGTAATAATAAACCCTAGTAATTACCCAGCATGGTGTTAATGACTCATATGACAATATTTTAATTATAAAAAGTAGAAGTAAAATTTCAATTTTCAGGCTTAGGGGAGAATTTATATAATAGAAATAATAGTTACACAATGATTTCCACACAAAGCTCGTTTTACAAATTGAAATCTGTGCCCAAAGTTGCCACGTGGTAGTTTCAGTAGACATGTTTGTTGAATTTTAATTTATTCTCTTATGCACCACTATCTTTGACAATGCATAATTAAATGTTGAAGCTGAATACCCCACAACTTCACCATTTGATCTATTAAGCACATGACTAAGAGAAGTTTAAAAGACAAATGTTATAGTTTGTAACACTTTTAAAATGAGCACATTAAAAATCTTGGTTATTACATTGGTGTGATGGCATATGAGAGATTTCTTATTCTCTTTACTTTTATATATGTTTTCAAATTTTCATGACATAAAATATTTTAAGCTAGCAAATGAACTAAAAAAAAACAATTCAAATATCATAGTCATGGGGAATGTAGTCTGAGGAAGAGCTTTGAATAGGGCCAGGATATAGTTAATTGAGCCAAACATAGAAAGACAGAAGAGCGCAATTTTCTCTGCTTCACAGTTCTCAAGACTAAGCCCAGTGAATGTGATGGATCATGATTTGGGAGTGAAGGAGGAGAAGAAAAGTTATCAGAGGAATTAGGACATGTGTGTGCCTTGTGGGGAGGAGCTAGAAGTTACACACAAACGAACAGGGGAGAAGGAAGATAAGAGGAATGAATATTGTACTCCAGAGTAAACCCATCTTTGAATTGTATCTATTTTTTTCTTGCAACATTTAAGCTGCAAAACTAGAATATGACTCCTCCTTTGGCCAACTCTATATTAAAGAAAAAACAAAACATGCTCACTGAAGTAGAAATAGAACAAAGCAGCCGGAACTTGTGTGTGCCTGGCTCCATTCTAAATGTTTTTTTACAAATGACACTTCATCAAAAACAAAGGTAGTGCAGGTATCCTTCAGCCAGATTCTAATACATCTGCTGCCTCCAGACTCTTTTCTACAATACCCTTTTACTTGAGACAAACAGTAAGACTGGATGATATAGCCACAAAGAACTTGGGAAATCAGGAGAGGATTCCTAAGAGTTGGAACAGGAAGTGGGACCTTAAAAAGTGGTGGGAGCTGAGCTACAAAAGAGGTGGGCAAAGAGTAACTGGGTGGGGAAAGTACATAAACAAGAGCACAGTTGGAAATGAGCTCAGGAGTCTACCAGGAAAAGAGACTGAAATGGCTGAGCTTTCCGTAGTGTTGCTGCACGGTTTGGGGGTAGTGCATGCACATGCACACGTATTTATTGTGGCCAAGCTATCTGCAGCATTTTAAGTCTGAGTTCGCACCTCAAGCCCAGGCATTGACCCTGGTCCCTTCCTGTCCTATGAATTGCTGCTTTTTTCTATCTGTTTCTCTCCTTGGTGCTTAGCATGTGTTAATATTGTTATCTCTCTCCCAGGTCTGTATCATGTTTCCTTATATAAATTTGTATATGCCTTCAGAGAAAAGTCCCTGTCTCATCTCTTATAATCTCTGCTCCTCCACTAGAAATTAGCATTTCATTTGGTAGGCATTAGGCAAATTTGTTAATGAACTTTATGTACATGAAGTTCACCTGCAAAAACCCACAAAATAATTTAAGCCTGTGTAGCATCTGATGCCCATCAAAATATCTAAACTGAATGTATCAGATTTCATTATCTATGTGTTGAAAAATGACTTTAAAAAATAAATTGACAGAATTCAATAATTTCATTTTACTTTTTGGTTCCTGTTTACATGGGCTATTTAAATGTCTCTAGGTAAAACTGTAGTTCAGATATTTTGCATGATAATAAACATAGCTTGATGAGATTGCAAATTTGTCCATGACCTTGGGCATGATACCAAAACCATTTTTATATTTAGCTTTGGCCAACATACATATTAGTCAAGTCAGCTTTTTACAGATGGACAAGCATGACTAATAATCACCTTGACTTATTATCAAAAATATGGTTATATTAGAGTTGTGATTAACATCTTGCTTTTTAACTAGCCTGCTGGAGTGTAAATCTATTGCTTCCTTAACTTACAGAGACCATTCAAAAATATATCTCTTCATTCACCTTTGATCTTAAGTGATGTGTTAATCTCCATAGGGAATAAGCATTTCACAAATAAAATTCCTGTGATTTTCATGATGATTACTGTTGAACATTTAAGTCTAAAGGGTATAAAGCTGAGACAGTGCTGGGAAGTGATTTTCCTTTTTGTTCAAGTATGTATCTAAAATTCTTTGCTGAAACGTATATCATTTTCTCAGGTTAAGATCACATACATCCCACTCAGTGGAAAATAAACTCCCATTACTCTGAGACCTCTAAACACACAAGTACATTGAGAACAACTTCAATGCATGAAACAGTTGGCCTTCATTTAGGGGACACCAAGATTACAGAGGAAGGAGCCATAAAATTGTGCTAGACTAAGAGACCACAAATCTGGATTTGGCTTAAGTTCTTCTACTGAGGAATTCATCTGTTGTTCAACTCAAATTCTGGAAGAATATTGGGAAGCATATGTAAGTATAATGCACTTATAGACTCAAATATTTATTCAGCTCATATTTATTTTATACCAATATGGCAAACACTGGTGCTAGATCTACGGGATAGAAAACAAATTCACAGTCCCTGCCCTCAAGAAACTTGTGATCTAGTACAGAGGTAGACAAACTATTATCCATGCCAAATCTGGCCCATGGTCTGTTTTTGTACAGTCTACTGGCTAAGAATGGGTTTTGTATTTTTAAATCGTTGAAAAATTTAAAAAGCATATTTCGTGACACATGAGAATTGTATGAAACAATTTTCTGTGTCCATAAATAAATTTGTGTCCATAAAAGTCTTACTGGAACACGGCCATGCCCATTCATTTACATATTGTCTCTGGCTGAACTGAGTAATTGCAACAGAGACCATATGTACTGCAAAGCCTAAAATATTTCCTATCCAGCCCTTTACAGAAAATACTTGCTGATTCCTGGTCTAGTACAAGAGAAAAACAAATGAAGGGATAAATGCTACCATGGGGTAAGCTTCTGGGGCTGTGAATACACAAAAAAGGCAACACATACTTTCCATGGGGAGGAGCTGAGAAGAGATGATTAAAGAAGGCTTTGCAGAAAAGAATCATCTAAGCTAGGATGCTACACCCAGGGTTAGGGACTGAATGTTTGTGTCCTCCCAAAATTCAAACGTTGAAGCCCTATCCCCAATGTGATGCTATCAGAGGGTGGTTGCCTTGGGATGAGACCAGATTTAGATAACATCATGGGGGTAAAGCACACATGATGGGATTAGTGTCCTTAGAAAAAGAGGATCTCCCTCTCTGCATGCAAGCACCAAGAAAAGGCCATATGAGGACCTAACAAGGAATAGGGGCATCAGCAAGAAGCCAGCCTCTCTGGTACCCTTATCTTGGGCTTCTAGCCTCCAGAACTATGAGAAATAAATGTTTGTCTTTTAAGCCATCCAGTCTATGGTACAGATGGTTCTTGATTTACAGTGGTCCCACTTAAAAAATTTCAACTTTGCAATGGTGTGAAAGTGATATGTATTCACTAGAAACTGTACTGCAGTAAAGTATTCAATATATCACATGAGATATTCAACACTTTATTATAAAATAGGCTTTGTGCTACATGATTTTTCCCAACTGTAGGCTGATGTAAGTGTTCTGTGCATGTTTAAGGTAGGCTAGCCAAAGCTATGATGTTTGGTAGGTTGAGTGTTTAAATGCATTTTCGAGTTACACAATATTTTCAACTCATGCGGGTTTATTAGGATATAACCCCATTGCAAGTCCAGGAGCATCTGTATTTGTTACAATAGTCCGAACTGACTAAGAAATCTGGCATCTATGGAGCTCCAAAACATCTGTCAATGGAACTCAAGAGATTCTTGAACATGAGGGAGAAAAAAGAGCACCCTTATTTTTACTATAACTGATATTTAGCATTTCTTCCTATGATTATAAAAATTTGAGCAACAAACCACAGTATGATTTGTTACCAATAGAAACAGCGGCTATTTTTATACCCTCCTATATTTGCTGCAGATATCTTAATATAATTTACATTCATCACTACTTCAAAATTATGGCAGTTACTAGAGCTGACTCTAGATCTTAGTTTTAATAAATTATATCACTATTCATCATTAAATGTCATCACAGTATTTCAATATAAATGATTTTCTTTGTTATCCTATGTATTTTATTTCATGTCTTTAAAAAGATTACTCTTAGAGGATTCCATATGCTTCACCAAACTGACAAATAGGTCCATGACACCCACACACAAGATTAAGAGCCCCTGCTCTAAGCAAGTCCTGGAGGAAAAATTAGGTCAGAGAAAGAGGTAGTGGGAGTGGCAATGGCAGGGCTAGTACTTAGCTGGTCTGTGTCCCTAGGGTCATGCCACTTGTTAAAACATCAAAATACTTTTATACTATTTAGTAAACAGCCATTTCCCTGAGTTCCCTGACAGCCCTTCCCAGCCTTTCCCCCAGTATCTCCTAGGATCCCCACAGCTCAGTAACTAAAGTGTCAATACTGAGCTCAACAGTGTCCTCACAGACCTTGCTCCAGAATCAAGTATGCCACGGGGATTGCTAGATATTTTTGAGGTTATCCTACCACCACCACAACTACCACCACAAGTGTTTTCCAAAATGAGGAGTCTCGTTGCATATACAAAGAAGAAAATGTGTCCCTTGGAGGAAACTTCAAGTGGTCCAGGGATGCTGAGATGCTAGGGGGTAGTCAGAGGTGAGACAGAAGTGATAAGGAAAGCAACAATGGTTAGATGGCAAAGGTTCTTGTGTGCCTTGATGCGGAATTATAACTTGATACTGAGGCCAATGAAGAGGGGGGCACGGAAGGGTTTAAAGCAAATGATTCCCTTCAGAAAGATTTTGCTAGTAGTACCTAATGGTGCACTGGAGGAGGACAGGACTCAGGGAAGAAAGACCGATGTAGAAATAGAGACAGAGTCAGAAATAGAGACAGAGAGAGAGACCAAGACAGGGACAGAGATTAGTTAGCAGCTCTTGGAATTATTCAGGTGGGTGGACCTTGGTAATGGCAAAGAAGCTAGAGAGGTAGATGAATTTGAAAGATATTAAGGATCTTAAACAGATAGGAAAAGTCAGGTAGAGGGAATTTGACCCTAATATTCGACTTTCTAGCCTAGACATATGAGTGAAAATAAAATAGTGGAATAATGAATGCTGCATTCATATTATTCAAAAGTGCAGACAGCACTGTATTAGCAAAATTACCCCATTTTAAGGGGTGAGAACCGTGCACATTATAAACTAACCTAAGTGATTTGCAATGAGCAAAATTAGCTTGTAATTCTCTTTTACTTTCTACATTATAAATATAAAACTATTATCTTCAAAGTATTTTCTAATGCTTTCAAAATTTTCCTTGCTATAACAAAAAAGCATAATTATCTTAAAAACATTCTGAAATCACATGGTCCTACAGATATTTATAGTCTAGAAATAAATGTACCAGGCTGAGTCCCAGGACAAACACCTGAACACTCAGATAGCTTTGGGAATATTAGAAGGCCAAGATGAAGCTTCACAAATATTATGAAGTATCAGCCAAGTAAATTTTATGTTTTGGGAAAAATTTTTCCTTTTATCAAAGTTGGCCAAGAAGATAAATGTATATGACCAATAAGGATATAAAAATGATGTTCAACACCACTAACCTTAGGGTAATGCCAATCAAAATCACCATGAGATAGCACTTTACACCAATTAGGATGGCTATTATTTTATTAAAAAATATAAAATAGTAAGTGTTGGTGACGATGTGGATAAATTGGAACCCTTGTGCATTGCTGGTAGGAATATAAGATGGTGCAGCCACTGTGGAAAATGATATGGTGGTTCCTGAGAAAATTAAACATGGGATCAGTATATGATTCAGAAATTTTACTTCTGAGTATACACCCCAAATAACTGAAAGCAGGAACACAAACAGATATTTGTGTGTTAATATTCACAACAGCATTATTTACAATAGCTGAAGGTTAAAATAACCCAGAAGTCCTTCAAGGGATGAATGAGTAAACAAAATGTGGTGTATACATACAATTAAATAGTATTCAGGCTTGTGAAAAGAATGAAATTCTCATATGTGCTATAACATAGATAAACATGGAAAACATTATGCTAAGTGAAATAAGCCACATACAAAAAGACAAATATTGTCTGATTCCACTGATATGAGGTCCTAGAATAGTCAAATTCACAGAGATAAAAAGTAGAATAGTAGTTACTGGGGGCTGGGAAGGAGCGGGGAAATGAAGAGCTACCCTTTAATAAGTTCAGTGTTTCAGTTTAGGATGATGAAAAAGTTATGAAGATGAATAGTGATGGTTGCACAATGTGAATGTCCTTAAAGGCACTGATTGATTGTACACTTCAGAATGGTTAGGATGATATATTTTAGATATATATAAAAAATAAAAGTTTATTACATATGTATTTTATTTGTATATTTATATATTAGATATTTATATATAACATAAAATAATATAATAAAATATTATATTTAATATTAAATACATACAACAAATTTATCTATATATTCTATATTTATATATAATGTATAATGATATAATAAATTATAATCTGTATATTATAAATATAGTATAAATATATTACATTATAAAATAAAATATAATATGTATTATAAATAATATAATAAAGATATATAATATATATTTTATTATATATTCTCTTATATATATAACAAAATTTATCATCCTAACCATTATATATATAAGTAAAAAATATATATTTTACTACAATAAACAAAAGTGATCAGATGTATTTACTTGGCTAGATAACTAAATAAATGGTGTTTCATGCTTTGTTTTACTTTTCAGAAGTCTCACATCAGTATTTAAAAAAAAAAAAAATACTCAGATACCTAGAGTTTTTAAGGCACAATTCAAATTCCATAAGCAGGCACTGGTGACATTCCCCATGTCTTCCCCAGCTTCAAGCCTGCCTCTACCCCTCCAGATAAAAGCTTGTTTTACTCCATGCCTTTGTTCATAATAGGTCCTCAACCTAGAATGACTTTCCACCTATTTGTCTTCTAAAACTCCCACATATGCTTGCAAGACTCCAAGCAAAGATAGTTGTATTAGTCAATCTTAGTCAAGATTCTCCAGAGAAACAGAACCAACAGGCTATATAGACACATAAGCGGGTATTTATGAAAGAAGTTGGCTATGCAGTTATGGAGGTCAAGAAGAGAAATCAAATTTGCCTTTCCTGTACTTTTTTGTCCTAACTAGGTCTTCAGCAGAAGGAATGATGCCTGCTCACACTGGTGAGAGTGGATCATTTTACTCAGTCTGCTGATTCAAATGCTGATCTTGTCTGAAACACTCTGATAGATACACCCAGAAATTATGTTTTATCAGCTATCTGGGTATCCCTTAGCCCAGTCAAACTGACACAAAATTAACCAGCACAGTACCTTTTAAATATTTTTTCCCTTTCCAGACCCTTCTGTGCTAAACTTTTATCAAGCTTAGCCCTTGATATGTTTTAATCTGCACTGTCCAATATAATAGCTATTTGCCATACATGGCTATTGAGAACTTGGAATGAGGCTAATGTGAAATTAGATGCACAAGTTACACACAAGATTTAGAAGATGGTATGAAAAAAGTATGTAAAATAACTTAGGAATAATTTTACATTTATTACATGTTAAAATAATAATATTTTTGGTATATTGGGTAAAATAAAAGTTTACTAGTAAAATTCATTATACTTGCTTCTCTTTACGTTTTAATGTTATCACCAGAAAATATAAAATTATATATATTGCTTATATAACATTTCTGTTGGTTAGTGCTGCTCTAGAATAACAACACTCATAACAGATAATCATTTCTTTACACATTTCTTTTGTTCCTTGGAATATAACAAAGTGAGAATTCATCAAATATACTCTGAATTGAATTTTGTGTGTCAAACATTTCAACTAAATAAAATATTCTTATAATTCTTTGGCAAATCACCACAGACCGTCATAATCTCTATTAGGAGAGAACTGGTTTTCAATTTTAGTTGTGTCTGAACATGTTTCCCCTGCAGTAGAACATTAGTTGAAATTTCTTAAAAGAATTCCTGAGTGAATTATTTTTCTCAAGTTGGACCATGTTTTTCAGGGAACATTCTCAGATAGTAGGTAAGTCTCATTTAAAATGTTTGCTGATCCATACTTTTTCTAAATAGACCAGAAATTGAGGGCTTGGCACAGGAAGAAAGACATGGAAAAGTATGATTAGCTTTTTCTCCTACTTCATGTTTACCATTAAAGAATATCAGCTCACATCATAAGGTACTTTAATATATGCTCAAGGAATCCCAGAAGCTGTATTCTACCCCCACTTTACTGATGCTTGACTCGTCTGTGATCACTCAGATACTTAGTGTGACAGAATAAGAAGATTGGGAGAGACCTTGAGGGGCTCCATCAAGCGCATAACTGCTTCCCAACATTATTAAGGCATATGTTAGCCTAAAGCTAAATTCTAACTGCCGGAATGTTCTGAGACAAATGCTTCATAATTAGAAAGGCCATTTGCTGTTTACTATGCATCTGGAGCATGCCAATGTCTCCACTGCACAAATTGCCTCACAGTTAGTTTGGAGGATATATTTTAACCTTTCTTAACTGGAAAAGTTATCCTTTCAATGACATATAGAGGATGGGTCATAAAATTGGACACTGCAGATAAGAATCATTATTATATACTTAATAGTAAGAAAAATTACCATCAATGTTGTCACCATATTCATACATTGGAAGGGAGTGGGCTGCCCTGTAATTAATGAAGGAGATAGAAATAAAATAGCTGTTTCTCTAACTTCTGTTTGACGTCATACCTTGTAGAAAGTAACCTGTAAAGGCCAATGGTGACTTCCAATAATTGTTGGAAACCAATTCACCAACATAATGATTCTAAAATGTAAACTGACTTTCAAATGTTAAGGATACTAGAAGGACCAAGTGGATAATGATTTTAGTACAAATATGTTCATAATAATGATCATTATTTAGGGTATCTTTATTGAACATTTACTACGCATAATGAAACTTTGTTATGTTTGCTTAACATATGTTAATCCTATGAAATAGTCCTATCTCCTTTCTATAAATATTCAAATTAAGTCTCAGAAAAGCTAAGTTACTGCCCAGGTCACATATATAATAATTAAAAGAGTTAGTTTCCATCTGACTCCAAAGCCTAGCTTGTTTTACTAATATGTGTTTTTTGTTTGTTTTACTTTCTATTTTTTTTTATTTTTTAAATTGGCAGATAAAATTATACATATTTACTGTGTACCACATAATGTTTTAACATATGTATACATTGTAGAATGACTAAATCTAACTAATTAACAATTGCAATACCTCATATAGTCATCATTTTTGTGGTGAGAACACTTTACATCCATTCTCTTGGCATTTTTCAAGAATACAATGTATTAATAACTACTGTCACTATATATACAATATATTAATAACTACAGTAGAAAAATGATTTCTACTTTTATCCCATGGTGGTCAGAAATACTTGATATTATTTCAATAGTCTAAAATTTGTTAAAATTAATTTTGTGGCCTAACATGTAATCTATGCTAAAGAGAGTTCCACGTGTAGTTGAGAAGTATTCTACAGCTGTTAGATGGAACATTTGTACAATTAAGTTAGGTCCATTTGATCTAGGTTTTACTTTATATCTGGGTTTCTTTATTGATTTTCTGTCTGTATGATCTGTCCATTACTACATGTAGGGTGTTGAAGTCTTCTGTCTTCTACTATTATCCTATTGCAGTTTATCTCTCTCTTCAGAGCTATTAACATTTGTTTATATATTTAAGTGTTCTGATGTTGGGTGCATATATATTTACAATTGTTATATCCTCTTGCTGGGTTGATCCCATTATCATTATACAATGATCTTCTTTGTTTCTTTGTAAAGTTTTTGACTTAAAATGTATTTTATTGGCCAGGCACGGTGGCTCATGCCTGTAATCCTAGCACTTTGAGAGACTGAGCTGGGCAGATCAACTGAGGTCAGGGGTTTGAGACCAGCCTGGCCAATATGGTGAAATCCTGTCTCTACTAAAAATACAAAAAAACTAGCTGGATGTGTTGGCTTATGCCTGTAATCCCACCTGCTTGGGAGGCTGAGGCAGGAGAATTGCTTGAACCCAGGAGGCAGAGGTTGCAGTGAGCTGAGATCATGCCACTGCACTCCAGCCTGGGCAACAGAGTAGGACTCTGTCTCAAAAAACAAAAATGTATTTTATCTAATATATTGTTTCCTTCAGCACTTTGAATGTATGATCCCACTCTCTCCTGACAGATTTCTGCTGAGAAGTCTGCTGCTAGGCATATTGGAATTCTTGTATATGTTATTTACTTCATTCTTTTTCTGCTTTCCTCTCTTTGTCTTTGATTTTTGTCAGTTTGATTATGTCTTACAGTAGTCTTATTTGGCTTGAATTTGATGGGAGACCTTTGACCATCCTGTACTTGGATACTTATATTTTTCTTTAGGTTTGAAAAGTTTTCTGCTATTATTTCTGTAAATATGCTATTTCCTCTTTATCTTTCTTTTCTTCAACTCCTATGACTTGTACATTCATTCTTTTGATGCTATCCCATAAATTTCACAAGTTTTTTGTTCTTTTTTCCATCATTTTTCTCCTTTGACTATATATATTTTTAATAACCTGTCTGAGCATACAGATTCTTCTGTTCTGCACTGATGCTCTCCATTGCATTTTCCATTTCACTCATTGTATTTTTCAGCTCTAAGATTTATTTGATTAGAAAAATTCAATCTCTCCATTATATTTCTCATTCTGGTCATATTGTTTTTCTGTTTGTTAAATTGTTGTTCTGGTTTTTTTTTTTTTTTTTTTTGCAGTGTGCTGACCTTCTTTAAAATAGAGATTTTGAATTATTTGTTGGGCAGTTCTTACATCTCCATTTGTTTGGAGATAGTCACTAGCACCTTTTTTTTTCACTTAATAATGCCATGATTCTCTGATTTTTGTTTATCCCTGTGGTTATACAGCAATGTCTGGACATTAGAAGAAATATTTACTTATTTTACTCTTTACAGACTGACTTTTTCTGAGAAAGCTCAGAACTACCCTCTGTCTTTAGGTGGTCTTCAGTAAAAAAGCTGAATAAGCATTTTAATTCATTCTACAAGCTCTAATTTTTAGGCACAGTAACTCCCAACAGTGTTGAAGAAGTAATCTTTAAAAGTCAAAGCTGTGTGAACCATCCAGAGTTCATGTGATGGCAGGCATTGAGGGCAACAGGGATAGATGGATGTGAGGGATCACATGTGCCAATAAAAAATCAATTCTTGCCTTTTTCCATTTTGGCGGACACCCATAGGCACCAAAAAATAGGTGCTAATAAGTAACATGTTTTGAAGATGCAGAATAAGGCTATGGAAACAAGGAATGCTCCAAGTGTCCCAGTCTTTCTCCTTGCACTCCTTGTTAATAACAATACACTATATTCTTACATTTGTTAAGCCACAATTAAAGTACTTGAAAATCTATGGAAACTCAGCACTATGAAAAGCTGGTAATGGAGGCTGTGAATTGACTGACGAAGTGGGGAAGAAGCGGAAAGAATAAATAAAACTTACGTCATCTAAAACAACCCTGGCATGAGGCAAAGGTCAGGTATATTAGGCAAAAGAACAGGGAAAAAAAGGAATTTTTTTTCTCTAAGAAATAAGTAGATTTCTGTGTAAATCGGTTATAAACACGGGATCAAGAGTGAAAGGAGGAGTCAAGAAGCCCACAGATAATAATAGAGTTATGAAGATAAAAATGCTACAAGTTCCCTCTTATCAAGAATAGTAAAGATCACACAATCACTTGTGAGCTGTTTACAAAGAAACACAATTAAGAAAGTGATAAGCTATTCCAAGCAGTCCTACTAGATTGATCTTTCCAAAGCACTATGCTAATCCCATCATTATACCCACCAAACATTCAATAGCTTCTTCCTACTGCCATAAATAAAACAAAATCTATTCATCTTTACATTTAATTCACGTCTCTAATTAAGAGTATCTTCCTAGCTTCATCTCCCATAATCCCTTAAACATAACATATTTCAGTCAATGGACTGAATGCATAGTTTCCAAATCCACCCATCCTTTTCCTGCCATCAGGTCTTTACTCCAGTTATTTTCCTCTACCTACAGCAATCTTAGTAGTCCCTAAAGGCTCAGTTCAAAAGCCACTTTGTCTATGAAGACTTTCCCATTCACTTCAACTAGAATTTTTCCCCCTCTAAATGTCTGCAACCTTCTGATTGTGTCTCCTTAGTGACTTTTGCCACTATACCTTGCTTCATAGTTATTCATATACCTGAGTTATATCGGCTTCATAGTTATTCATATACCTGAGTTATATCGGTACCATATTCTACTCTGAGATCTATGATAGTTCTAAAGTGTTCAGCAGATGTTTCGGATTAAATAAATGACTGGGTTAAAAAGGGGAAACAATCTGTGAAAAAGATTAGAAATTGAGGACAGTCATCCTGTATAAGAGAAAGGGAAAAGTCAGTAAAAGACCTAAAGTATTTGATGGGTTTATTAGACTTCAAGTAAATTCAGAGGAGCTGTTTATAACAGAATTAAGGGCTACCCTGAAGTCAAGAGTTAAGAGATTTATTGCAAACATTTTATAGGCATTTTTGAGACCTTACTATGTGCCAAGAACTATACCAGGAACTGGTGGTATGAAGATAAACAAGATACAGACCTTGCTCTCAAATAGCTCCTAGTTGCTACAGGCTAACTTTCTTTACTTTTCCTCTTTATTTATACACTCATATTTTTCTTTATTTTATTTTTCCATCTTAAGCTAACAGCCTTAACTATTCCATCTCAAATGAAATTTGAATGAATCGACCAGATAGTGTTTCTGATGGATTAAGAGTGATTTCCTTCTAACTTGTAAAGTACAGAATTAAGACTAGTAATTAGAACTTATAGGGTTGCCTATTAAGATTCAATTTAGAGACAAAATGAGTATAGCAATGGTTGAATCTTGTGCTAAGAAGTTTTCCATTATAGGAAGTGTTCAAGTAGACCAACTAATAAAATAACAGAGACAGGATTACTGAATTGGATGGTAAATTGAATTGGATCATCTCAAAGGAGCAATTGAACCATAACATTTTACAGAAGCAAAAGGATCAATGCAGAGAGGAGTGAGGCATACAGCTATATGATTGAGTATATTCATGATAGTTATTTTGAAGTAACTATGAGGCATTATACTAAAACACTGATGGTTTAGAGACAGACTCTACATCAAAAGATCAGATGTCTAGAAAAAAGGTGATACCACGTGTTGACTTTAATAAAGGAAATGGTGTCTCATAAGATCAATGCTCTATGAACAAATTTAAAGACTCTAGGGGATTCAAAAGAAATAAAGGACACTAAAAGTCAATAATTTGGAGTTTGTCCTGTTTAAGCATTTTGACTTCACCATACAGGAGTATGTGGCTTTGGGCAATTAATTTAAGCTTCCATTATTCTCTTTTAGGAAACAGATATCATAATGCATGCCTCATGAAACTATTCTCAGATATGAGTGAAATAACTCATGGTGGATACTCAGCATGGCACCTGACACCTAAAATATAATCCATTCATTTATGTCTTTTAATGGTATTACCATCTTATAAGTACATAGGAAACAGAGAACAAATTAGCACTAACATATTGGGTAGTGACAATGAATTCTAAGAGAGTCAAAAAAGAAAGAACAAAAGTTTAGAGTAGTCATGCAACTGGCTCACTAGCTCTGAGGAATAAAAGAAGCATTCTGGTAAATTGCATCCAGATTTAGACAGGCTGCAAAGTTAAGAGGGAAAATTAAAGAATGACTGAGGCTGGGTGTGGTGGCTGACGCCTGTAATCCCATCACTTTGGCAGGCCAAGGCAGGCAGATTACTTGGGGTCAGGAGTTCGACATCAGCCTGGCCAACACGGTGAAACTCCCATCTCTACTAAAAATAGAAAAATTAGCTGAGCGTGGCAGTGGGTGCCTGTAATCCCATCTACTTGGGAGGCTGAGGCAGAAGAATTGCTTGAACCCAGGAGGCAGAGGTTGCAGTGACTCGAGGTGGTGCCACTACACTCCAGCCTGGGCAACAAAGCAAGACTCCATCTAAAAAAAAAAGAGAGAATGACTGATATTGTGTTAATAAGGTGGCAAAGACAAGAAAACTGGCATACAGAAGCACAGAATTATTTGAAGGCAAGAAATGTATCATCTTGTTCATCTTTGTCTTTTCTGTTCCTGGCACATAATAAAGGCTATAAATGTTTGCTGAATGAATAACTCATACATATTCCTGTCTGGTGCTCTTAGGCATAAATGTCTCCTAACTCTTCATTTTAGGGTAGCCCTTAATTCCATCATAAACAGGCCTCATATAATTCAATTGATGTCAAAACCCAGAAACATTCTAGAATCAATAATATTAAACAGATGATCTGTGATTTTTTAGAAAAGGAATCAGAGGCTGAGTGGCCATTGACTAATGAGATCCATTTGCAATAGGCTCTTCAACATGTAGGAGGGTCCATCTCACATCAGTGAAGCTCCAAACACCTCACATTTTGAGATTCGGTCAAAAGCTTCAGCCTCTGGCAAGCTACTGAGATAGAGTTTGTGGCAACCCTCTCATGATGACACAATTTCCTGCAGGTGGGCCATTTTTAACAGTGTGCCTACTTCAAAAATATCTGCACATGTTTGGTAAATGTCATTGCACATCTGTGCATAACAACAGATTTTGGCTTGAACCTCATTAGGAAAATGAGTATTACATCTGTAAGTCCTTTTGTCAGTTGGATAGGCTGTATCCCTAAATACTACACCAAGATGCTGACAACATATGCTTACATATTTGCTGAAATTCAAGCAAACATCTTTAAAAAGTCATGCTAATAACCATTCCTTACAAGTTAAACGATGTGACTTTAACTCAGAAACATTATTAAAATGTATTCTCCCAAAGGAGGGATTTTCCTTTTCCTAGTCAGTTCTTAGAATGCTTCTCTTTCTGCAAACAGTGTACATATGCCAGAAGCCATATATTTGACATATCCTTAATTAATCTCATTTCTTGAAGGGAAAATGAAGCATCAAGATTATATGTCTATTAGCCCCCTGCTGTAACTCTCCTGCAGAGCTCACTGTTGACATGCTTTAGAAGTTTCCATTTTTGTCATATACCTCTACATCACCTCAGTTCGCTGCCACCTTAAGGCTAGACTCCACAGCCATAATTTGTGAACCCTTTCAAGTTCTCACTAAATATGAAAACAATGTTTCTATCTAGGTCCCGTTAAGAAAGTATATGACAAGGCTGCTTAAAAGAAACAGATGGAATACTATTTGGCGTTTATTTTCTAGGCGCTAGTAGACTTTGAAATAGAAATGTCCCATTTTGGCCCATTTTCTCTTTAGTAAATTATATGTCATTCTCTAAGTTTGGCAGAATTCTGGGAAAAAAATCACCAGGAAAAGGAGCTCTCTAACAGCCTTCTCTGCTGGCAGATGACATCAAGAAATGTCAAGTGAGCTCAGCTGTTTTACATTTTCAAAATTGTCTGCTTTGGCACATTATGAGAATGCCATTTTCCTTCTTGTGATTTTTCTAGTCTGGAAGACACATAGTGTTGCAAAGAAAATTGATCATTCAACAATGATTAGAAAAATAAGCTGTAATTGACACGAATGCAGAGGTTGATTGTATGATTATGCAATATGAAAACTGATCATCCTTATTTACACAGGTGAAAGACACAGTGGAATCTGTATTTTACAAAAGGATCACTGGTATCTTCCATAGGAAAAAAATCTGAATGACTTCTAGAAAGATTCTGTTTAAACACACTAAACATACTCCTTTTTCATGCATTGAGCATTCTCTCCACACAATAGCACCAATTGTGAGTGTACAACACAATGATACTCAGAGTGTTATCGAGTCTCCCTAATGACTTGCTCAACTACATAAACCCAAAGGTCGGTTGACACATTATTCACCTTTCTCCTCCAGTCCTTCCATCAAATTCCAGTTGTAACTAAGTATGTTTCTCTTTGTGTCATCTCCTCATGCCTGCCTCACCTCATAGGTAATAAGCCTCAAAACTGAGTTATTCTGAAGGTTGATTGTAATAAGTAGTTTGTGAACTTTTGTTTTTTAAAATAAGAGCAAAAGATAATATTTAATAATTGTTTTGATAAGAACTTCCCAAATTCTGACTTTAATAAACTCTGCCCTTGGTTAACATAATTGCGCCAACTCCTTCAGCAGGGAATGGCAGACCAGGGATAGTCAAATATTTGCTCGCACCATTTGAGAATGTATACTTACTAAATGGAGGTGAAGATAGGTATAAATATACACAGCAGAGTTACTTCTAAACTCTTAAGCCTGGCCACTACTGAGGCTTCCATGGATGTGTTGTTGTTCTGCCAGCAGCATCTCTTCCTTGGGGAACTACCATGCTGGGTAATGTAATTCCAGTGCCCAGTCCCTGCCCATCCCTGGTCCTCCTTTAAGTATGATTGATTAAGTTACATTGTTGCTTAGACTAGATTGAATCTGGTCTCTGTCTCAAGCCCATGAAGGGGTCCTCAATACCTTACATATTGCTAATTCTGACATAAGCACAGGGCTCTTATTTATATATGCATAATACAGAAAGGATAATAAACTCTGAAAGCTTGAAGCCATTTGAACAAAATTTGACAATTTTCATAGGGCTTTACTTAAAAGGCTTTAACTTTTTGAAACAATACTTAGATAAAAACAGGTTACAATTCAATTTTATCAGTAGACAAAAGGCTTAGAGGGATTAACTTATTTTATGAAGATTATCCAACCAAAGGTTCAGCTATAGAGCTCATCTTCTGTAAGTCCTTCAAGGACATTCCCAATTCATATCACATAATTTTAACCACAATGACCAAAAATGTTCAGATCAATATTTTACTGATTTAATATTTATATTTTCTAAATCGTAAACCTGGAATGCATAACCTTATACACAGTAAATTATTTTAAAGGCAAATTACTTAAGGATGGACATATTTCTAGAAATCTTAAAGCAGTCTGACTGAATTTCTTGAAAGTTATGACTAAGTGGTAAGGATCTCAAGACACTAAGTAGAAACATTAGTAAGTGTTGATACAAGAAGGAAAATACTAAGTCACAAGTAAAGCTTGAAAGTAATGAAATATTTGTTCCACAATACATATTTAGGAAATATTAAATGCCAAGTAATATAGCTATGACAGTGAGCAAGACACATATATTTCCTCTTCTAAAAGTTTGCAATGGTTTAGTAGAAGAGAGATCAATAAAGAAAGCAATATCAATATAGTGTGGTGAGTGCCAGGCTCAACTGACGTATTCAGAGTGTGTGGGGAGCCTCCCACAGGAACATCAAACCTAGCCCTAGTGGTGAGGGAAGAGTTCCCCATGGAAAAAGTGCTTACAGTTAGGCCTGGAAGAGGAGGAGCTACACAAGTGAAGAAAAGAAGGCTGGTCAAATTCCTGATGCAAACAAAGCTAGCAAAACCTTACTTTATAACTCTAGAAATAAAAAATCCTATTTCCTTATTTCCTTTTATTGAGTCCCATCCCCAAAATCAAGATACTCTTTATCGAGCTCAAGGCCACACACTCCTAAAACATATCCAAGGCGTCTCACCACTCAGCCGAGAAATAACAGATCCACCAGCCTAGATTGCTCTACTGCCAAATGTTCTATCACCTAGTCAGCAATTTAGTAGATCTTAGCCAAAAATTAATAAGTTATCAACAAACTTTCCACCTTCTCTGACTTCATTGATACTGTTTATTCCATTCTGATACTTCACATCTCTAACAATTGACTCTATACATTCTGGAAATAATGTTAGCTACAGATTTACAGGAATTTCAGATCTATTTTCTTGGGCATAACTAATGCCACCTGCTTCAAAGATGCAGCAAACTCTGAAAGGTGGAGACAGTACAGCTCAGGTTCTATAACTCCTATGTCATTACTAGCTACAGATGCGTTATTATGTTGTATAGACAATACAAGTTATGATCTTAAGTAACTATTGATCTATTTATCTATATTGGCTGAATGAGATATCTCCCAGTCACCGACAAAAGTAGTAATGAGTGCTTTCTTAATCATACTATGTCCTTATCAATTTGGTTTTATGTATTTAAACATGGCGTGAGACCATCATGTTTATTCAAATACAGACATGTATTGAGCATGGCATCATGTTGACAGGAGCCATCAGCTGAAGTACACCTTAGTTCACTGTAGACTCTACTATGCAGAGTTGGCAGATAATCAACAAAATCTGCCTTGATTCTTAATGTTACTGGTATCTTGTCTCCACTTAGTATTGTGAAAAAGGAATGTAAAATCTTCAACGTCAATCAATAATATAATAGATAGACATTAAGTTGTTACAAGTTGCGTTCAAGTAGAAAGCCAGGAATATGTTTTAGGATTCCAATTTTGTCATTCTGTTTTTCTTTTTACCAGCTCTTCAGCTTCCCTGATCAGTGTTTTCCATACATTTTGTTTTTCTTTTCTTGTTATTCCAACCAGGAAACAGTAACAAAGAACAAGAAAAACGTCCATGGTCAGGGTTATGCCACAGTAACAGTGGACAGAGGTTTATGCAAAAGACAAACATGGAAACCTGGAAACACTAGAGGTTATACTCAAAATCACTCCTGATCTTCCCTTCACATTTCATGCACTGGTTCCCACTGACCAATTCTCAAACTTGAGAATGGGTAGAGGCAGGAGAACAAACTTAGTCTTTTTAGGATATTTATTAAAAAAAAAAAAAAGAAGAAGAAATCAAGAAGCTATTTCTAACGAGGACTTGTTATGTTCCCAAATATCTTAATATAATAACAATCAAATTGCAATTTTATGGCCTAAAGAAGGAAGAAAGAATAACAACCCTAGTAAGCAACTTGGATTCTAAAAAAAATGAGAAGAAAATTTATTTTAATTAGTCATAGTCTTTACACTAATTGCTCACCTGTCACAAATTAGCCTTTTTCCATTAATAATACACTTGGCCTTTTAATATTAAAAAGGAAAGATGAGAGGCAAAAACAAAAATGAATGTAATTTTTTATTCCAAAAGCTATGATTATTTTTCAAGCTAAATTTATTGACACTAATGAAACCATAGAGTCATATTTAGATTTAGGGAACTGTTTCTTATTTCCAGGGAAGGAAGTTCAATACTGTAATCATATTGTAGGTGAATGCCTGAATAAAGCATGTAGACTAAGGGTAGCTTATCAGAAGTAGATACAGTCACAGTTCAATTGGGTTGCTCCAATAACTAGCAAAGTGACAATCATTTCAGGATTTACACCAAATATAAAACACACTGGAACTGATTTTTTTCTTAAACAAGTAAAAAACTATTCTGGTTTCCTTAGAAATGTCCCAGGGTAAAACTATTCATCCTTTCTGGCAGGTAGAAGTTGTTGTTTTGTTTTGCTTTTTAACTTTGAAAGAGATGACCAACGTATGCTTCTGGTTTAAGAACACCAGAACACACACGAGCTGATGCTTAAAATCCAGTGGGACAGCTACATATGTGTACTGCATTGAAATACCATGAGGAAAAAGGCATTCCATGGGCAATTTTCAGGAAGGCTACTCATCTCCACGCTAGACACAATGGCATAAAGAAGAGCTGAAGGGCCCAATCCTGCATGCACAGCATGTATTTAATCTTTATTAGAACACAACTAAGAGACTCTGCAGGGCCGCTGAGGAAATGATTGCTGTGGAGATGGGGAAGTCAGGGGCCTGTCAAAGGGCAAACTCAGCCAGAGCAGGGAAAGAACATATCAGTCAACCAAGCAAAGGAAGGCCTTTCACAAGGGGAGTGTTAAAAGCAGCAACCAAATATAATGAAATGTCAAAAGGGATGGAGAAAGAGTTAACCAAGATGGCAAGAGGGCAAACCCCAGAGCCAACCCTTTCCAAAGAATTAGCCACTTTTGCAAGAAGCTGCTACGTTCCTATTTTTAGGACTGTGGCTTGTTTTCAATGAAACAAGTTCACATCACACACTTTCCTATACATTTATAAACTGTCTCAGTTGCAAAACAATGTTTTTATTGAAGGCTCTATGGTGAAGTATAATTAATAATATTCAAATATTGTGCTGTTTCAAAACTTAGGCAGCGGTTCTCAAACTTGAGAGGTAATCAAAATCCCCTGGAGGGTTCTTACAACACAGATTACTGGGCCCCAGCCCCCTAGTAGGTCTTGGCTGGGGCTTAAACACGTACACACTTAAATTCCCAGGTGGTGTTGATGAATGCTGCTTGTCCAGGATTCACATTTAAGAACCATTGGTCTGGCTGCGTGCAGTGGCTCACACTTTTAATCCCAACAGTTTGGGAGGCCGAGGCAGGTGGACTACTTGAAATTAGGAGTTTGAGACCAGCCTGGCCAACATGGTGATGAAACCCCACCTCTACTAAAAACACAAAAATTTGCTGAGCGTGGTGGGGGACGCTTGTAATCCCAGCTACTCATGAGGCTGAGGTAGGAGAATTGCTTAAATCCAGAAGGTGGAAGTTGCAGTGACCTGAGATCATGCCACTGAACTCCAGCCTCAGGGACAGAGTGAGACTCCATCTCAAAAAATAAATAAATATTTTTAAAAAGAGCCATTGGTCTAAGGAAAATGAATAAGCTTATATAATTTCATGCCAAAGCTTATAACTGGACCATGAGGAGCAAGAGCAAAGAGAATGTCTTATTTACTCTTTTTCCAACATATTCAAAACCTGAAGGAAAATCAGGAGGCAATTTAATTAATTGGGGTAGAATAGTTTTATTTTGTTTTTTTCTAAAAGAGACTTTTTTTAATACTAAGAGTTTTCGATAAGTGTATCACAAACTTAAATGTACATATGAATCACCTGGCAATCTTACTACTGTACAGTGAGAAGCAATACGGCACAGGCGTCAAAAGACAGGACTCAAGAGTTAGGCTACCTGAATACAGGTCTGTATTAGTCCATTTTCACGCTACTGATAAAGACATACCCAAGACTGGGCAATTTACAAAAGAAAATGGTTTAATTGGACTTACAGTTCCATATGGCTGGGGAAGGCCCACAATCATGGCAGAAGGCAAGGAGGAGCTAGTCCCGTCTTACATGGATGGCAGCAGGCAAAGACAGAATGGGGAATATGCAAAAGTGGAAACCCCTGATAAAACCATAAGATCCTGTGAGACTTATTCACTACCATGAGAACAGTATGAGGGAAACCACCCCCAGATTCAGTTATCTCCCACCAGGTCCCTCCCACAACACATGGGAATTATGGGAGCACAATTCAAGATGAGATTTGAGTTGGGACACAGAGTCAAACCATATCAACGTCCAAGCTCTGTCACTTACTAGCTGTGTGATTTGGGGCAAGTTACTTAACCTCTCTGTGCTTCAGTTTCATCTGTAATATTAGACTAGTAGAAGTACCTGCCTCGTATGATATGAAGATACAGTGCTTGGCACAGGTAAGTATTAAATAAACATTACCTGTATACACAAAGAAAGGGGTCTGATGTGCTTGCATTCAAGCTATAATAATTGTGTACAGATCTCCTTGGCTCACGAGGCTACAACCTGATAACCCATGGTAAGTTGAAAATATTGTAAGTCAAAAACGCATTTAACGCCCTGATAAACCCATTGTAAAGTCAAAAAATCATAAGTTGAACCCTTGTAAGTTGAGGACCATCTGTATTTGCTTTTTATATATTCTTTAAAAGTGCTTAAAGTTAAGCAGTCCTTGTTTAGGATGAGAGAAAAGTGTCTGTATAAGATTAAATATTAATACTTGATTTAATAGAATTCTTCATCTCTCTATTGCTATTGCATTTTTTACAATACTTAAGACTTGCATATAGAACAACCTTGCCCCTTCAGATTTCGATACTTTTTTTTTTAACATCTAAGGCAATACTGAACTAAATACAATGGGTGTTGGGGGCTGAAGTGAGGGGGAACGTGATGATGAGGAGAAAGAAAAAATTAATAAGTACTTTGCCCAATATTGCAGACATAACTGATGGTGAATGTTCACATATAACTATTTACTTGATTTGTTTGTAAAAGGGAATTACAGGGACTTCTAACTCCCTCTGGATTTCTCAAGGACAATAGTTATTACAGACATAGAAACATACTTGCTACAGCCTACTTTTCCTGCCCCTCTCCAGTGGACAGAAGTAGTGCTAATTCCAGCTGTGACTACTTAAGAGTGCTTGTACTAGCTCTTGTTTTCTAAAGGGGAATATAAAGCTTTGGCTGAATATCTATAAAGGGGTAAAAACAATTTTCTGTGAACAGTATAAAAAGATTTTTCAGAGACCCAAACCATTGCTGTTATGATGGTACACTTTGCAATGCTTGTCTGCTTCCAAATGTCGGCACAGTGAGACTGTTTTTGTGAGGCTGTCAACATTTTATAAAAAGGTAATCTGGGATAACTGTAGAGGCCTAAAACTGCACTTGCTATAATTTCCCTCTTGCCTTTGGGGAAACAGCCTTTCTTAAAATGACAACATAACACGAAAGCTTTGTAACCAATGGCTTGTTTACGCCTATACTATTCATATTTGGGATCATGAGTATAAATACACATGCAGACCCAAAGACATTTGATGATTGAAATGATCCAGATGTCTGTTTTTTGTTTTTGCTTTTGTTTTTGTTTTAATATTTGTAAAGCAGAAAGGGCATTTGGCCCTGGGGAAAAATAAAAGAAAATTATATCAAAAAGTGGAGATTTTAAAATTTGTTTTAGCAACAATTATTCTCTAGATAGAACACAGTAATCATTATGAATATCTTAAACACCACCCCATCCAACGAGACATTTCTTTCCCAATACGCCATTTCCATTGTCTTTAGGATATATAAAATGACTTCAAAAAATTCCAGAATTTTAAGTTCTGCAGTTCCAAGGATGATAAACATTTCTTTCAAAGGCTTAACGTTTGCTCTTATTCTATGTCAAAATTTTATGTGATGACACCTGTTTCACATGAATAAGAAAAAATAGGCCATCTTCTTGGTTTACAAATGGAATGCAACATTTCCTGCAAATAAATAACCAGGAACAAACTTAATGACCTTCGCAGTTTTATTGGAAGAAAATTCCCCAATCATCAGCTACTGTATCATACAATCTGTGGTCAAGTACAATATCCAGCATCAAATTATTTAGCTAAGTAAAAACAAGTCTAACAAACCAAGTCAATCATGGATTAATTTGAGGAACTGGTAACACAGAGACAGACTCAATTATAGGGTCCAGAAATGATTAAAAGTTACTTACGATTTTATAAATAAGAATTACAAGTTATGTGGTAGCTTAAGACTATTGGCTGCATAATGTTTGCTTGATCATGTACATGAGCATGTATTTTAAATATGCATTTTAAAGTTCTTTAGAATGTTTTTAAGTCTTTTTGATAAAATACTGAAGACAGAAAAATATGTGATTTACCCAGAGTCTTCCAAAATTTATTTATTTATTTATTGTTCAGCATCCAAATTGTATTCCAGTTTGTTGAAGGTTCTTTTCATTCTAGTATAAAACCCAGTAAAAATCACTGTGCCTTATGAAGAAAGTATGTAGGGAAAGGAGGAAAATTCTACACTTAAAGTTCATCTCCCACTATGATGCTCAGTTCAAACACTACTCAACCCAAAGGTAAGACAGGGTACAAACTACTGCTTATTTAAAACCCACCCCTAACAGCAGACTATGTTACCAGAAAAAGTCTACCTATTTTATAGAATCAGATTACGCGGTAAGTTTTTCTACTCCTTTGTAACTAAAAGAACAGATTATGCCAAACTCAAAATGGGAGATTCAGGCTAAATCAACTAGGTCATCAAACAGAGGAGACATCAAAACCAGGCTCACTTTAGCCCTCAACCTTTTCTGCCAATCAGAATCTTGGATGGAAAACTATTTTAAAAGCCAAAGTAGTTTTTCCCCAGGCAATTCAGCTCATGGACATTGAGCAACATAAAATGAAGTAGCAAAACATCAAAATCAATAACCAGGAAATGACTATGGTAGGCAAACCACAGTAAACCCCAATTTAAAAAAGAAAAAAATGTCACCAGTCGCTCCTTAAAAACATTCAGAATGCAGAGCCAGGTCACAACTGCAAACAGCCATAAGCTCTGCAGGAGACAGCTGAGAAGTCATTAGCCAGGTGCCATCAGAGCTAAATGGGCTAGGTGGTCCAGGAGTTAGGGTCTTCTCTTCAGCCATTTCTGTTCATTCAGGGGAGAAGGCCTTTCAAGGACTCAGTAGGTTGTGTGGTGTAGTTAATTTTATCATATGATTTTTGGCTCAATAGCAAATTTTCAAATTAAAGGAAACATACTGTTTTATGAAAAAAATAATAATCTTTAGAGTCAGATATACTTGGGTTCATATGCTGACTCAATCATTCACACTTAATAGTAGTGGGTTGTCCAGGAGACTTTACATTGGGATTTGGATTTGGCTGTCTTTGGTATCTCCCAGAGGCGTATAAGCATGAGCTGATTTGCTTGGTAGACAGGGGACCCACAAGGAAAAATTCGTGTATTGCTGCCTAAGACAAAGGACAGGAAAGACAGAAGATCTATTCTCCAAGTAGGGTTGTCATAAAGTTTCAAATAAAATACCAAACCATATAAGGAATTCTTGTAACCAAGTACCTAACAGGATCAAGAGTACATTGTACATGCCTAATGAATGAAAAACGGTATTCAGAAACATACCACTTAATGGGTGGTTCTTTTATGGAAATATAGGGCAAATACTGGACTATCTGGTTAAAACATGGATACCTAACAATCCCAACCTTTTCTTAAAGTTCTGTTCCTTCTGTTTCTCCATCTTCATTCTGAGAAAACCCGAATACCTCTTTTCCAGTGCAAAAGAAAAACCAACCATCTTTTCATATTCTTTTCAAAAAACACAAAAACTATATAAAGATTACCAGCTTATTTCTAGTAGAACAGCTTTTGGCTTTATTAATCAAAATATGTAGGGATTTCTCTCTGAAGTACTGACATCCGGATTACTTCATTAAAGTCATCACTATCCCAAGAACAAGGAACAGATATCCTGCTTGTCCTGACATCTCTCAGAAGAAGGAAAAACTTTCCCACAGGTAAATATCATATCTACTCTTACAGCTACAAGATTATTTCTGGAAATTTATAAATTATTATGTTTGTTTCTGTCTCCAGCCACAGAAGGTTCAGAAAATGGAAATCCAGTCTTATATCACTCACCACACATTTTTTGTGGAATTTAAAACTAAGAATAATTCACTCTTTAAAATTATGTTCTCTTCTTTTAAAAATTAATTTTTCTTCTACCAAATGGAAAGCTAAATTAACCTGAGCAAAATAAAGTAAGGCATTAAACAGCATCCTGCATCCCCCTGCATTCTGCTGCCTTAGAAGCACCCAAGGGCAGCACCCAAAGTAGGAACACAGCTTTCTGCTGCTGGTCAGTAGCACTGGTAGCAACAGCAGGCGGCATCTTCAAATAATTTGCCAATTAGTCAGTATTGAGCAGGAGATCACAACGACCTGAGAACATTTCTACGTTCTCAGAACCCCTATAAAGACCTAATGGGAGAAACATCACCAAAATGTAGGCTTTCATGCCTGGTGTTAACTCCTATATCCTCACAGTCTGGCAAAATGTGGCACATTCCAGATTATATATCTGTTGAGGCAGAACCATGGGGAGGCTACCACGACAGGAACTGGAAATGTCAAGTTATTTAATCGTAAAGCTTACACTGTGAAGAAACAATGTACTGTTGAAAAAGGCACAAGTAATCAGAATTAAGATAGAACAGTCATCAGAAGCAATCAAAATGTCTTTCAGGAGGCAATGGATATGTAAACTATGGTACAACCAAACAATGGAATATTACTCTGCACTAAAAATAAATGAGCTATCATGCCATGAAAAGACATAAAAGAAGCTTAAATGCAAATTTCAAAAAGAAGGAAGCTAATCTGAAAAGGCTATGTACTATACAATTCCAACTACAGTATACGACATTCTGGAAAAGGCAAAACTATAGAGACAGTAAAAAAATCAAGGGTTGAGGTTGGGAGTGATGAAAAGACAGGGCTCAGAGAATTTTTAGGCCAGCAAAACTATTCTGTATGGTGCTATAATTGTGAACACATGTTTTACATTTATCCACACCCATAGAATGTACAACACCAAGAGTGAACCCTAGTGTAAACTATGGACTCTTGGCAATAATGATGTGTCAATGTAGGTATGTCAATTATAACAAATGTACGACAGTGGGGCAGGATTTTGATAGTGAGGGAGGCTATGCATGTGTGGGGGAAGGGAGTATACAGGAAATCTCTGCACATTCCTTTGCTGTGAAACAATTAATAGAACTACCCTAAAAAATAAAGTCTATTCAAAATAAACAGAATAGACTAATGATAGATGCACAGAATGCTATGTGAACCCAAAAGATGTGCATCCTATTTTGTGGGAATGAGAAGAAGCTTTCTCGGGAGGGAGGGTGAAGGGTATTTCCAGTACTTTCTAGATGTGTTACTTTTTATAACCAATCTGAATGTCAAATGCTTCTTCTTTGTAATAGACATAATAATGCATACCTGGCATTATTGTGAAGATGAAAGATTATTTCTGTAAATCACCTAATAGTGTCTGTCAAATAGTAGACACCAAACAGGTACTTATCACTATCTTACTACAGTACAAATTAGACTACTATTTTATCAGTCCATGGCAAAGTTGTACAAATCAGCCAATTAAAAAGTAAACTATAATGTTCTGTTTGCTATTCTGGGAGTATTAAATGAGCTAATCACAAGAATCATTGGATTATCACTCTAATACTTGTTTTTAAAACGATTACAATCTTTCTGTTAAATTATCAAGCAGAGAGCTTCTATAAGACTTCAAATGTCTTCCGTGGCATAGGATTTCCAAACATCTAAGACCATGTTTGCTCTTGCCTCATCATATAGTCTTCTAAAGTTTAAGCATTTTGTTTGTTTTGTTTTGTTTTGTTTTTGAGACAGAGTCTTGCTCTGTCACCCAGGCTGGAGTATAGTGGGGCCACCTCAGCTCACTGCAGCCTGCACCTCTGGGTTCAAGCAATTCTCGTGCCTCAGCCTCCTGAGTTACTGGGATTAACAGGTGTGTCCCACCACACCTGACTAATTTTTGTATTTATAGTAGTGACGGGGTTTCACCACGTTGGCCAGGCCGGTCTTGAACACCTAACCTCAAGTGATCTGCCCACCTTGGCTTTGCAAAGTACTGGGTTTACAGGCATGAACCACCATGCCCGGCCTATATTTTAGTAGAAAGTTATTCATTGATGAGGTGATCATTAACTTGCTTTGTCATTTAATATAAAAGATTCATTAATTTATACTGGGTCTTAAAATGTATTAAAAATAGTCGTCAGGTCCCATTACTATCTCACTAACCTCTGATTCTAATAACTATCCCTGTATTTGTAGCTATCTATTAGATTTTTTGGTACAGACATCTTAACAAAAAGGTGTGCATTTTGCATTTACTCTAATTCTAGACAGTCACAACCACTAAGTGGAATTAGAAGACAAATACACTATAGTTCTCACCAACAAATATAATAGACAACTAAACTGTTTTACCTATTTTCTTTTATTTTTAGAAATATCTTAGAAAATAACATCATTTTTTGAATGTTAATCAGGGGTCTTTGGGTAGATAAACATTTTCCCCAGCATTACCAGGTTGTTTGCTCACAACCCACTGAAATAGGTACTCTTAATATTTTCTTTTTGTTTCAGTGGGGAAACCGACTGAGAAAGGTTGACTAACTTGCTGAAGGTCATACCATAATGATGTAGTTGGGGTTTGAACTAAAATAAAGAAAGGAATAACAATGGAAACAGAACGTGAGAAAATAATATAAAGGGTAACCATGAAGGAAAGACAGCAAATTATCAAAATTGAAAAATCAGGCTGGCGCAGTGGCTCACGCCTGTAATCCTAGCACTTTGGGAGGCCTAGGCTGGCAAATCTCTTAAGGTCAGGAGTTCAACACCAGCCTGGGCAACATGGTGAAACCCCTGTCTCTATTAAATTCAAACATTAGCCGGCCGTGGTGGTGGGTGCTTGTAAACATAGCTACTCAGGAGGCTGAGGCAGGAGAATCGCTTGAACCTGGGAGGTGGTGGTTACAGTGAGCCGAGATCATGCCACTGCACTCCAGCCTGGGTAATAAAGCAAGGCTTTGTCTCAAAAAATAAACAAATAATAATAATAATAATAATAATTAAAGAACTGGGCTTCCTCAACAATATGAAAGGAGAAGGCGCTTCCCTTCACAAAATCATCTACTCAGATTTGTGCAAGTCTTACAACATATTAGCTACCATATTTTTAAATTCAAAATGTCCATGTCATAAGCCCTTTCAAAGTAGGAGAAAGTTATTTGGGGAGCATCTATTTGAAATATTAATATAAGTAAGCTAAAGGAAGGTAAGCCAGCATCTTCTTCTGACTTGAAGTATTCTTAAAAAATAAAGCAATCTTTGAAGACCATTAACTACTTTAGACCGCTATAGTATTTGTGCACTAAAACAACCAGTTACTACAAGATAAATTCATCACTACCAGAATAGATTTTGCCTGAAAGATGAAGTTGAAATTGTATTGTCATAAATCACAGGGCTTAATAACCTCCCCTGCAAGTAGCTCTATAAACAGGCAACTTTTCAAAATACAAAAGTAATAGAGTTCCAATCAGTCATTTAGCTAAAACCATACTCTTTTGAAACAAATTTTTAAAAATTATATACAGAAATATATACTAACATATCCTCTGGAGAAAAGGTAAAAAGACTAAAATGAGTATTTTAAGACTGATAAAATAGAATGTTAAATAAATTTAAAGCTTGGTTACTAACAATATTCCTAAAATCAACCAACCAAACACAAATGTCTTAAAAGGTTTATCTCAGGCTTGTATACTTCCATTTGCACATTAATTTATGAGCTTTTAGGTATATAATGAAAAATGCATCTCATCTCTGTCTTATGTATTACTTTAAACTGACCTCTTTCTTCATGAAAGTACTTCTTTAAACAATCCTTGGGACACAGTTTCCAGAACTTAGTTTTGTGCCAATTGCAATTTTTTTAAAGTAACTGCTTAAAATAAGAATGAATAATATTTTTAAATTCAAGGATTGAGCTATTACCACTGATTTAATTGATATTCTTTCATATGATAAACACCTCCTACTTGCAATAACAATTAAAAAATATTATTGTGTGAAGAGTAAGCATACTGTACTCTTAAAAAAACCCATTACACTTCTGAGACTTTGGTTTAAATTCACTGAGAATTTTAAATTGAATATATGTTTTGGCCTTTGAATTTAAATAAGGAAAGAACCGTAAGGATAGGCTAAGAATTTAATTGCTCACAAAAGCTTATATTACAATGTTTGATGAGAATATAGTATAAGGGGAAAAAATAGAAATTTCCCCCATTTAATTTTTATATGTTTATTTCTAATTGATACTCCAAGAAGAAAAAAGCAAAATGCAATGTATCTCATTAGGCAAAGTGATACACAAAGTGTAAAAACATGTGTTATAGAGCTAAAGAAGCCTGAGTTTAAATCACAAATTGGCTACTTACTGGCCCTGGTAGCTTGGGTAAGTAAATTAAGCTCTCTAGGTAGTAAATGGGTGCTTAATTTTCTTACCCAAAATCACAGGGCCAGAAAGTAGCCAAACAGAGACTCCACCTCTCCAACAAGGTTTTTAGAAAGAGCAACTGAGACAATAATGTAAGTAAAGTGTCTTGCACATATTAACAGCTGAACAAATATTGGCTCCCCTTCTACTTGACTGTACTTTGTTGTTTTTCTCCCATATTCCACTTACTAATATAGAAATTCTTTAACTGGGTTTACATATGAGTTTGAGGGTGAAAATGACATAGTTGCTGGGAACTAAGGCTTCTGAATCAGATCTAGCTCTGCATCACACCAGCTGTGTAATACTTAAGTAATCTAGACTTTCTAAGCCTTAAAGCATCAAATGTAAAAGAGGAGTGTAATAATATTTCAATGTGAGAATTAAATGAGATGAATAATGGTACATGGTATACATATAATGTGATTTACATATGCATATTTGTGTATATGTACACTAGCTTTTATCAGAACTTTAAAAAATATCATAGCATGAAACAAGTTTAAGAGGCTAAATTTTATAGGAAAGAGGTAAATCATATTTTTTAAAAAGCTTAAGGTTTGTTCTGGTTTTGATCCCTAGTATGTCCTAAACCTTGACATTTTCATGGAGCTCATCATCATGAGCCTGGTACACAGAAAATTTTCATTTAAAAGCAGAAAGATACAATTACAGTCACAAACTTCCTCCCAGAGCATCCCTGATGCACCTTTAAGCAGTTACAGGAACTAAAGCTTTTGAGTACCCTGAATAGCCCCCACATTCCATGAATCAAGATTCCATGGATCTATGGAAATCTGTATTTGCAGAGAAGTTACATTATAAATTATATATTGATTTTGTGAGATATTAAATCGAAGAAACAGTTTACCTGGTATAATACAAATCAATATTGATTTATTAAACTGAGAAAAAATGTTGGAGAAAGTCAACTATAGCATAAATCAAGGTTAAACAAGAAATAAACACAACTAAAATTGGGCAGTTGGACAGGAAAACTGAGCAATAGTTTATTTCTATGCCAAGCTGGAATTGTAATTTATGACTAAAACACTTATTTTAGTCAAATCCACTGAGTTATGTATTAAATAAACAATGACTTTGTATGGTCCATTCTATTGAAAAGATAATTTTTACTAACTGATGCACTCTAGTTCTGCCAATTAACATTGCTATCTGAGCCCCAAAGCAGAGAAAATTAGACTGGAGAGCAAAAGTAATCAGATAAGTACCTTTATGATGTTTACTTTCTTTGTCAATCACTTTACATTACTGAGAAAAGGAAGTTTTAGCCATCAATCTCCATTTTGCCTATTTAATTTCAAAACTTGCTTTTCAAAATAATTATTATTCTAATGGACAATACCCCCTAGCCCGAGTTGATGAGATGCTTCCACTAAAACAATTAGTTATTTGAATCTCTGTGACCATAATTATGTTTTTAAGAAAAAATATTTTAAACTAAAGAAGCAAACATAATACAGATTCTCTGCAAACCAAACAAACAGAAAACTCAGACAAAAAAAAAATGTGTGATTTATATTCTCACCACCAGGAAATAACCATGGCTAATTTTTTTGCATAATTTACCAGACTTTCATTCTGTATGAATATATTCACGTTTATATAAATATATTTACAAAATCATGTCAGTCACCTGCTTTAATGTTATTTTTTCACCTAATATGAGTTTAATTCATTCTTTTTAATTCACCAGTTTTTAATTTCTTTGTTCCATAATTAAATACCCTATTTCTAATTATTTTTGTTGTTTCCAATGTTCCACTATTAAACAAAAAATAAAAACTGTAATGAATCTCCCTGAATACATACCTTTGCACACTTATTTCTTCAGAATAAATTAATCCAAATGGAGTTACTACATCAAAATGTACACATACTTTTAAAATGTTTGACACATATTTCCAAATTGCCTTCTAGAAAGCTTGAGTCAATTTACATAGCAGCAGGTCTACAAGAGTGTTCATTTTCTCATTTCTTCTCTAAAACTTGATGTTATAATTATTTTTAATATTGTACATATTTTATTCTTGAGAATAACTTGAAATATCAAAAGTCGAATCAATATTTGAAACTTTTTTGGATTATGAGGGCTTCCTAGTAGTAATAGTTAAAAAAAATAAAAATACCATAACAATGTAATCAATTCTGAATTTCTAATTGCTTTATTTTTTTCAAGAAAGGAAAGTCATCTTTGAGAGAGTTGCTTGGAACTGTGGGGGTAATGATTACTGTTATACGTATATTTAGAGTACCAGGAAAGATTAAAGGCATTTCTGCAAGCTGGGCAGATAGAAAGCCAGGCCATGAATCCTGCATCCAATATTTAATGTCTGGAGTTGCCTGAAGTGCTAGGGGTGGACCTACGTTTCAGCAATTTATGTGATAACAGTTTGTTCATCTCCTCTTACTGCCCTATACACCCATTCTTTACTCTTGTGTGAAATTCAATACTTGCATAGCTTATTTATTTAATGATGTTATATAAAACATCAGTAGGGGTTGTACTCAGACATTTTAATCATTGAGATTTCAAGGCCAAGCGTGGAATAATAGCAAAAGACACTCAAAAGGGAAAAACAAAGAATTAGATAGGAAATTAGAATGAACAAGGTGGGGAGAAACAGAATGCTAAATCAGTCAGTAAAACATGAAAATGCAGTGCTCTGTCCATCCCAGTACTTTCACTGACATGTATCTCCCAAGACCCAGAGAACGGAAAGCAAATTCCGGAAATGCTTCCAGGTACAACTCTTTTTTTAAGAGGAAGAAGGAGAAAAAGAAAAGTCTAAGTAATCATAGAAGTACAGTCATGCACTGCATATGATCTTTTAGTCAACAATGGACCGCATACGGAATGGTGGTCCCATAAGATTACAATGCTGAATTTTTACTGTACTTTTTTTTTCTAGCTTTAGATACATTGATTAGGTTGTTGCAACAGTAATTGTGGTTTTTGACATAACTTTTCATTGCAGCTAAACTCGCAACTGCTTTTGCACCAAACTAACAGATACAAAAATACATTGTGCTACAGTTGCCTACAGTATTCAGTACAGTAACATGCTGTACAGGTTTGTCTCTTAGAAGCCATCAGCTGTATCCATAAAGCCTAGGGGTGTAGCAGGCTATACCATGTAGGTTTGTGTAATTACACTCTGTGATGTTTGCACACTGATGAAATCACCTAAAGACACATTTCTCAGAACATATCCCTCTTGTTAAGCAATACATGACTCTAGTTATTGCCTAATAACCAGCCATTTTTTGAATAACTGTCTCTTATAGCAGTAGTTCCCAACCTTTTGGTCACCGGGGACCACTTTCCTGGAAGACAATTTTTCCACAAACGGGGCTGTAGGGGATGGTTTCATGATGAAATTGTTCCACCTCAGATCATCAGGCATTAAACTCTCTTAAAGAGTGCACAACCTAGATCCCTCACATGCGCAGTTCACAATAGGATTTGCACTCCTATGAGAATCTAATGCTTCCGCTGATCTGACAGGAGGCAGAGCTCAGGTGGTAATGCTCACTCATCCGCACCCCCTCACCTCCTCTGTGCAGTCCGGTTCCTAAGAGGCTACGGGCTGGTATTGGCCTGTGGCCCAGGGGTTGGGTACCCCTGTCTTACAGCTTAGCTTGGCAGTCAGACAAAATGTTGAGAACCTAGTGCTAAGCTTTCCAAACAACAGATCTAGATCAATTAATAACTTTAAATACCATACTGCTGATGGCCCTTCCAGATGATTGCTGATGCCATGTCCTTTTAATTAACATACCTGTTTCTTCACAGTGAGTAAAGTTACAACCACTTTCCCTCTATGCTGCATAACTCTTTTACTGTTCAGATAGTGGTTTATTGGGGAAAGTGAAGAAGGTCTCCTTAAATTAAACAAACCAAAAAACACAAAGCCTAGAATGCCCAGTCCTGTAGAATTCCTTTGACTAGTCAGATTCCTTAGAGGACGCATAATATCTCTTGAATGTGCCAGATTTTTTGGTTCAGGAAGTTAGTATATTTGTACATCCAGTTTGAGGGGTGATATTTTAAGAGGCATTTGAAGGAGATGAAACTGTCGTACAGACATACATTAACCTAGGGAAGACTGGCACAACAGGATTTCAACAAGGTTGTACAACACACGGCCCATAGGCCACATGCGGCCCAGGATGACTTTAAATGTGGCTCCACATAAATTCATTAACTTTCTTAAAACATTATAAGTTTTCTGCTTTTTGTTTTTGTTTTTTGACTTTTTTTTCCCCTCATCAGCTATTGTTAGTGTTGTGTATTTTATGTGTGGCCCAAGACAATTCTTCTTCCAATGTGGGCCAGGGAAGCCAAAAGATTGGACACACCTGATAAAATCTCTTTTTTATTTCCCCAATAAAAGCCATCCAAGTCATCATTTAGTAAGCCAGCTTGCCATATTTCATTTGCTATAGGAAATTCATAAATATTATCTAAAGTAGAAAAATTGACATCACAAAAGATATCTGTTTCCAAATAGGCTTAATATGTCATAACACCTTGTTTTATTAGAAAGTCTGGGTCAAAGCAACAGTACATGGATACTGAAGAATATTTCATATGTGGAATATTCCTTTGAAAAAACAAGTAATACAGTGGCAAGAATCCTCTCAATATAAGATTAGATATGTCCATGAAAATAACTGTAAATGATTTAAAGAAAAAGTATAATTTTATATAAATATTGAATTTTGGCTTAATTTCTACCATGTAGACACTCAGTAATGACTTCATTTCATGCATTTGTAGTAGGCTAGACAGCTGAAACTTGAAAAGATAATTGATTCTGCCATCTGTCTCTAATGCAGTAATTCTAAAATTTAAGTGTGAACAAGAATCATTCAGAGAACCACTCTGACGCCGATTTCAAGGCCTTACCCCTCAGAGTTCTGATTCAGTGCGTTTAATCTGGGACCAAGAAACAAATCTTGCACAGCTACCCTTGCATAGGTTTTTGTATTTGCTTTCCAGATTACAGAGAGAAGCACTGTTCTAGTGAATATTGAAATCACCCAGAACAAACAGTTGTTTGTGAAAGCTCTTCAAGGACAGGAACTTTCCAGATCTGGTCCTTTGTCCTAGGTTTTTATCCCTGGGATGTTCAAATATCTTCACTTACGTTCATCAAAGATGTCCAAAATTAATTTAAAGTATGGCATAACATATTAATAGTCAGGGTGGGTTACATCATTTTTTTATTTATGAGACTTAATAATTTTTCTTTGTTGAATAGTTTTAGCTGTTGAAAGCATTTTACAAAAAAATAGACAAAAAAGGGGCATTTTACTGTTTAAGCTAGTTAACTTCACTAGGGCTATTCTGTACTCAAAAGTTAAATCTCATACCATCTTTTATGTCCTCAGCCCCCATTCCTTTTTCATCTTTTAAATACATTATACCTTCCTGGGTTATCTGACGAGGATATGTAAAACATATGGGGGTAAAAAAATCCCAAGATTTTCTTTACAAATTTTATCACTGCTCAATCCTAGCACTTACTGATTAAAAGAACAAATGGCAGCTCAGCTAAAAGTTTTAAATTTATAGACCATCAGCATGTCCTATAAAATTTAGGTACTTGCAATGTGGACAAAACATTTGTTTTGCCATTCCATATGTTTTTTGTCTCTATGTGTGGTCTCTATAAAACATATATTTTAGCCATATATTTTAAAATTAAGAAAAAATAGCCAAAGAGAACTACTTAGAGCTAAAAAGTATTTTGCTGAAATTTTGGCCAACTCCATAGATATGTGTAATCAAAAAATATAGCCAGCACAACTCTTAGCTTATGAAAAACCTGATATAAAAATCTTCCTAACTAAATAACTAAAAAATTCTGCCTCCAGTTTTATCTAAACAAGCATTTTGTAATAATGCCATGCGTGTATGTTGGAAATCTGATATTTTTCCCCTGAAGCAGCAAAAATCTGCATTTCATGAAAACAACTACATTTATATTATACTCTGTGAAATTATGTAAATCCTGGATTCAATTTTGAAGATATTTTTGCTAGAGCAATAATTTAGTGCATTTTAAAACGTTTTTTTATTTATTTATTTTTTTTTTAATTAACAGCAAAATGCCTTTACCTAGAAATGAATCTATTTCTGGACTTAAGCCTAGAATGCAATACAGGCATTTCTCAATTATTAAGTAGTTGATTATCTGTCTTTTATTTTCTCTACTCTCTCACCTCCATGGCTAATTTTCCTGGAGGGTTTATAATGTCTTCAAAATAGCAGGCAAACATACCACTGCTGCCACCAAAAAAATAAAACTATAGCTATCAGTTTCTTAACATCTTTGCCTCTAATAAAATGATGAAGGAAGATAAAACAGAACTACTGATTTGTGAGATCATCTATTCATATTTTCATATGCTGAAGCTTTCATGAGCTTTGGAGGTCATCTGTTCTAACAGCCTGATTTCATAGGTTAAAAAAAAAAATTCAAAAGCTAGAGAAATTACATAATGTGGATGAGGTCACAAAGCTAGTGAGCAGCAGTCTGTCCTGAAACCCAAGTCTTCTGATTCAGAGTTGAAACCTTTTCCCCCAGCATATGTACATAAGGTAGAGAAAGCAATCATTAGAGAAGAGACTAAAAAGTCTACTGAAATGTATTTATAAATTTCCAGTCATCAGATAGCCTTTATCTATAAATTCTTACAAACCAAACAGTTCCTGTGTTTGTCAGTCTGCAAGTCACTTTTCCACCATTTATATAGAGAGAGAGAGAGAGAGTAAATTCTACATACTATTTAGTCTTTCTGGGAATTCATTTCAAATAGCTCTCCATGGTAGAGGGTGGGAGAGTTGGATTTCAGTGAGTATATGTGCATTTACGCCAATCTCCGCCTATCTTCTAATCTTGGCATATGAGAATCTTGTGGTATGGGGAAGCAGAAAACGGGGAGATCTGTGTAATTTGAAAAATTCCTGAAGGATTTTGATTACATTGCAGTTAGTGAGAACCATTTAAAGGAAGTCTATGGATTATTTACTCCCAGTAAAAAGGACTTTCAGATAAATATAAAACTTCAGTACAGTTGGTGTAACAGTTTAACATGAGAAAAACACAACAATCAGTCACTACTTAAAATTAAGTGGCTTCTATTGTGGAGTTGGCTTCTGTTGTGTTGCAGGCTTCCGGCAGAGCAGGCAGAGAAAGGGTGTCAGTCCTCAAAACATTTGGAAAGTACAAAAGAGTGAACAAAGTAAAAAACTATGTGGTGCTATGGACTGAATTTTTTCCACACTCAACTCCTCCCCGCACCCCACCCCAGTTTTACATGTTAAAGCCCCAACCCTCAATGTGATAGTATTTGGAGATGCGATCTTTGCTAGGTAAGTAGGTTTGGATGAGGTTGTGAAGGTGAAGCCCTCATGATAGGATCAGTGTTCTTATAGGAAGAGACCCCAGAGAGTTTGCTTCCATTCTCTCTCTTCCCCATAGGAGTAGGAGAAGAGGAAGAAACCTGTCAGGCAGGTGGTTAGTGTGGGTCCTCAGTAAAATTATTTCAAACAAAAAACAGCCTGAAAAATTAAACTGCAGGCACAGATAGGGAAACTTGCATGGTGTGGGGCATGGTTGGGGGGCAGGTCTTGCCTAAGATATGCCAACAGCCACATAGACAAGAAAGGCTACTCAGGAGACTTTCCCAGACATGCCCACAATGGAAAATTCTGTCCCCTAAAACATGCACAGTAAGAAGAACAAAGCTATATGGAGCAACTAACTCAAGCTAAGGGCCTGCATGCGCACTAGGAGGACAGGGTGGAGATACCAGAAATGTGTGCCTTATGCAAATGAGATGCCCAGCCCTCACTGCTTTTTTATAAAAGCGTCGTATTTAACTGTGAAACAGCAACCCTCTTTTGGGCCTCCTCTCTGCAGTGGGGAGCTTTCTTTTTTCACTTATTAAACTTTTGCTGTAACCTCACCCTTGGTGTCTGAGCTCCTTAATTTTTTTGGCCATGAGACAAAGAACTTTGAATGATATCTTGGGCAACGAGAGACTGCTACATTGTGGTGCATTGGTGTGACTGCAACATGAGGGCACAGCAAGCAAGTGACCATCTGCAAGCCAGGAAGAGTGTACTCATTGGGGAGCCAAACTGGGTGGCACCTTGATCTGGGACTTCCCAGCCTCCAGAATTGTGAAAAATGAATTCCTGTGTTTTAAGCCAGCCTGCCTGTGATATTTTTATGGCCGCCTGAGCTGACTAATAAAGTAAAAAAAAAAAAAAAAAAAAAAAAATCATGTAAGGCAACAGCATACTTAGGGGCAAAACAGACTTGAATGATATGGACAGGCAGCCTTTGAATGCAAAGAGAGCTTCACCAAAGTGTTACTTCAGTTGACTATGGAGGTAGATTGAAAATAGGTAGACAGGAAGGAAAGTACATTCCAGGTGAGGTTAATGGTATGGGCCAAGACTCAGAGATATGGAAATGTAATATATTAATTTATTAATTAAATATACACTTCCTGTGTACCAGGCTCAGTGCCAAGCACTAGGAATTCAACTCTGGACAGGACAGGCAGAATAATTAAGTTAATGCAGAGAGACTGTAGTAAGCAGCAATGAGAGGTTAATTTGGCAAGATAAACTAAGACTGAATCATAGAAGATTTGATTATTAGAAAAATGAAAAGGAGGACAGATAGCTTAAGGACAGATACCTATCTAACAAATAGATGCACAAAAGCATTGGAACAAAGTTCTCAGATTCCCTGAATCAAGGGAGTTTTGTATAAGAGAGAAGTGTAAAATAAGTGAAAATTGCTCTAGTGAGGCCAGATTTCATGACCTCCTGCACTGTCTATCATGCTTCCTGAAATTCCCTCAGCATTCTTTTTTCCCTCAGTGATTCATTCTATGGATTAAGGTATACCCTCTAAAAGGTTAGGTTTAAAAAGCAAGGATACCTAAAAGGAATTCAAGAAACTAGCTGTGCTCCCCATCTTCCTTCCTAATACACACTAGCACTGTCTTAGTCCATGTGAGCTGCTATAACCAAATACTCTAAGTTGGGCAGCTTATAAACAACAGAAATTTATTTCTCACAGTTTAGGAGGCTGAGACATCCATGATCAAGGTGCCAGACAATCTGGTGTCTGGTGAGTGTCCACTTTCTGGTTCATGAAACATGCCTTCTTGCTGTGTCCACACAAGATGAAAGGGTCTAATAAGCTCTCTGCCTATTTGATAAGAGCACTAATCCCATTCTTGAAGGCTGCTCCCTTGTGATTTAATCACCTCCCCAAAGGTTCCACTTCATAATATCATCAACTTAGGAGTTAGGGTTTCAACACCTAATTTTGGGGGGAGACCAAACATTCAGACAATAGTAAGCATAAATTGACTTATTACATTAATTCTTACTTTAGGAAATAGATGGGCACTAAAAAGATGAACTAAGGGGCATGCTATTTCCATACTATGGAAAGCACACACGGTCACATTAGTGTCGCCAGGGAAATTTAGATCCAGGGAACTACCTAACTAGAGGTCATACTACATCCTTTGCATAGTTCTGCCTCAACCTGGGCCAGCTTGACAGTTTTCTTTCTTTAGAGAGAAAACATTCACAGAGCAAGATTGACCTTGATACTTCATGGAAATTCAAGGAAACAAAGCATCAGCAACTTAATTATACTCTCAGGTCTATTCTTCTCCCCAAAACATAAGCTATTTATTCGATCTGAAGAAAAGTCAGGGCATGAGGATCTCACTTTGTACTTTTAAACCTTCCAGCATTCAGAGACTCCCTACACTAACACTATGAGCAGTTTCTCTAAAGTTTGCCTAACCCAGTAAAAATAGATCCATAACAAAGAATTAAAAGTTTGAGTTTAAATATGTTTTAGAATGTTTTATGTGATATAGGAGTGGGCTTTTCCTGTTTGTGTTCTGAGGGAAAAGCCTGTAATCCTGAAGGAAAAAGCAAGAACAATAATGCAGTGGTTGGAATGTTTGTTCCTCTCTGAAACACATGTTGAAACTTAATTCTCAATGTGGCAGCATTGAGAGATGGAGCCTTTAAGAGATGATTGAGTCATCAGGGCTCTGACTTCATGAATGGATTAATTATTCAGAGATTAATAGATGAATGGGTTAGTAGATTAATGGATTATCATGGGAGTAGCACTGGTGGCTTTATAAGAAAAAGGAGAGAGATCTAAGCTAGTCTCCTCACCATGTGATGTCCTGCCCTACCTTGAGACTCTGCAGAGACTTCCCACCACTAAGAAGGCCCTCACTAAGTACAGCCCCTTGACTTTGTACACTTCTCAACCTCCAGAACTGTAAGAAATAAATTCCTTTTTTTTCTAAATTATCCAGTTTCAGGTATTCTGCTATAAGCAACAGATCAAAGACTAAGATAAGTAGCATTATCCAGGTGGTACTTTATTAACAGGTCAGTAATTAAAAGGACTGAGAATGCTTACTTTTTTTTTTTTTTTTTGCATTTGATCAGTATTTTCCAAATTTTACATCGTTTTAAAATATATAATGTGGCTGGGTGTGGTGGCTCATGACTGTAATCCCAGCACTTTGGAAGGCCCAGGTGAGTGGATTGCTTGAGACCAGGAGTTCAAGACCAGCTTAGACAACGTAGCAAGACCTCTATAAAAATTTTTTTTAAATTAGCTGTGTAGTTTTTAAATTACACAGGTGTGTATGGTGGCACACACCTGTGGCCCCAGCTACTTGGGAGGCTGAGGTGGGAGGATCACTTCAGGCCAGGATTTGGAGGCTGTAGTGAGCTAGGATTGTGCCACCACGCTCTAGCCTTGCCGACAAAGTAGAATCCTGTCTCTAAAATAAAAAAATTTAAAAAAATTAAAAATATACATATAACGTAACATCCTTACAAGTACATGGTAAGACAATATAGAAGATTCTATTGACCTAATTTTTCTCCAAGAACCATGCAAAAAGTCAATTTTGATTGACTTACAGTCATATTATCATATAGATTATAACCTTCTTCCTAAATAAAGATGGATTCGAGATGGCATCCCTCTGTAACGATTAACCTAATTATTATTACAAGTAATTTAACTAAAGTAAAATAGCTAGTCATTGACAGAGTTGGGACTAGGATACCAGATTTTAAACTTGAATCCTCCCATTCTTTCTATTCCATGGCACTGACTTCTTAAAATACAACGGAAATACACAGGTACCTTTGCATGAATCACTGTGAGGATATAGATCCTTCTAGCTATCGCATTTGTGAAAAGAAAGAATTAAGAGCTCAGAAAAGTAGCCTTTGCTGGCAGATATTAAAAATGTTCTTTGAGGGGGAGACTAAAAGAGAGCAAGGATTGTTTATAATTAAGTAGCAATTTTAAGGAGGCAAGTCACTGTTTTCTTCTGTTGAGAGGACTAGGAAGAGGCTGACACAGATAAGGAATTAGATAATGGAAATGTTTTTAAACACTCCTAGGTAAAAAAAAGTCATTGTTATCATTGCTATAACAGCTAAGTTTAATAGTAAGCATTCATGGCTATATGAGGGCATTTTGCATTTTATCCATCATATTTTAGATGTAGAATTTAAGGTCGATTGAATATACTATTGAGTTACATCCAATACCTTTGAAAGAAATCAACTAATAGTTGAATGTTTTATAATACACCTGTGTCTCAGGTATACCCAATCAATAAGAGCTTTATCATTGAGCTTTATCACTGGGCCCAAACACCTACATCTAGGTAATAATACTTCCCTTGTATGTGTTATCCAAATATGAGGAGCCTAATGCCTAGCAGAAATGCACAGATCTCCATAATAATCCCAGACCTTGTAGGTGACTCTTAATCTTGTAAGGTATTATGAGAAACTAGGAGATTCACATTAAGTATGCCTCCTTATTCACCATCCTTTGAAATACATTCATCTACCACATGGACCATGGATTTGAATCCCTGAGGGTCAATAGCATGTTCTTATATCTGCTTCTATAAAACTATTAACTCAGTGAAAATTCTCTTGCTTATTTACCATGTAAAAATCCTTTTTAAAAACACAATCCATAATTTAATAATCAAAGTTTAATACTATTTGGGGGTTAATAGCATGTTCTTATATCTGCTTCTATAAAACTACTAACTCAGTGAAAATTCTCTTGCTTATTTACTATGTAAAAATCTTTTTTAAAAACATAATCCACAATAATCAAAGTTTAATACTATTTGAATTCTATGTAAATGTTATGTCCAATTTGTGTCTTAGAAAGACAGAAGCCACATATCTTTATCTTAAACAATTATTTAAATGGTATAATTAACTCTACAAAACAAAATAGTTCCCATGCCTGAGAAATTTTTCTTTAATGTTTAGGGATGTACATAGTAAGAAAAAAATAAATTCCGATGAAAGAAAAATTAAAACACTTTTTGAAAAAGTAATAATATTCATTCTACATTCAATGGCTTTCACAACTTGAAAAATAAATAAACACTACTCCCCTTTGAAAGCATAAAAATACTGTTTCTTCACTTTGTCTGGATATGCATTTTTCACATCATCAGCTGTGCCCTTGGGTTCACAGACATTTTCTACCAAAATACATTTTCTACAAAGCTCATTCAAGTAGATTGGACAGCAGGATGCCATGTGGAATCCCATTTACACAGTTAGATACTTTCAAATACATAGAATACTCAGCTGGACACTTTCATTCATTAACAATAATAGGCATAACAATAATTTCCACCATAACAAAAAGGAAGGCACAGCCTATATTGACATCTAAGCAAAGCTGATTGAAAGCTAAAGTTCTAGTAGTAATGCTATTTTAAAAGTTAAAAAACAATCTAATTAAAGACACAAATGTTTAAGAAAAGGAGCAAGTCATCATTATCACTGGAACATGAAGCAAATACTTTAACAAAGAGATAATTGGTGAAATAATGGGTTCCTGTTGATCTTTTTGTTGTTGTTGTTGAGACCCAGTCTCGCCCTATAACCCAGACTGGAGTGTAATGGCATGAACTTGGCTCACTGCCAACCTCTGCCTCTGGGGTTCAAGTAATTCTTCTGCCTCAGCCTCCCAAGTAGTTGGGATACAGGCATGCACACCAGACTGGGCTAATTTTTGTATTTTTAGTAGAGACAGCATTTCACCATGTTGGCTAGGCTGGTCTCAAACTCCTGACCTCAGGTGATCCACCCGCTTCAGCCTCCCGCGGTGCTAAGATTACAGGCATCAGCCACCACACCAGGCCTGTTGATCCTCTTTTCAATTTCTCTGACTTTACCTCTAAAATCATCTTTTTGAAAAGTTCTGGCCAGGCAAGGTGGCTCACACCTGTAATCCCAGCACCACGGGAAGCCGAGGCAGACAGATCACCTGAGGTCAAGAGTTCGAGACCAGACTGGCCAACATGGTGAAACCCCCTCCCTACTAAAAATATAAAAATTAGCTGGGTGTGATGGCACATGCCTGTAATCCCAGCTACTTGGGAGGCTGAGGCAGGAGAATCGTTTGAACCCGGGAGGCAGAGATTGTAGTGAGCGGAGATAGTGCCACTGCACTCCAGCCTGAGTGACAGGGCAAGACTTGGTCTCAAAAAAAAAAAAAAAAACGAAAAGTCAAGCAATAGACTTAATAAATGAATAAGTGGTCACAGGGAAGCAAAACTACTAAAGACTGGAAGCTATTCTCTCTTTAAATAGCTATGTATTTGTATATGAATGGAGTGATAGTCCCTTTTCTAAAACAGAGTATTAATCTTGAAACTTCACTTCTCCGGGTTATTTATCATGCTTACTGACAGTCAGTGATAGCCTGAGAAAACAAGATTACATAAAAGGTAAACATTTTAACGTACCAAGACAATAATAACTGTCAAAACTGGAAGGGAAACTATGAATTGAGAAACATTTATATCATGTTAGACAAAAATTAACACATCGAATAAAACACAGCCACATCAAAAAAATAGTGGTAGATTAGTCATTTTTAGACTGTGCTCTGCAGTGCCTTAGATGACCATGAAGTAAGATATAATGGGCTGGCCAGGCAGATAGAGTTCCAGTACTCCAACTTTGCTTCTGCCAGACTAGCTTTGTTTTATCAATTTTATATATTGAGATTCTAAGTAAAGCTGTTTGAAATAAGTGTACCAACAATAATAAAACTAGAACTCTGAAAACCATTGTTTTAAAAGTACCTTTATGGGACCAGAAAGATGTTTACAATATATTCAGTGACAAAAGCTAATTATAAAACTGCTTGATCCCACATTTATTATACACACACACAAACACACACACACACACATACACACATGCACACACCAAAACTGAGACAGAGAACACAGGACAAGGGATCCTTTCCCACTTCTTTACATACTGTGGTGACTATGGTTGCTCTCAGCTCTATAACCTTGCACTTTTTGAAAGACTCTCCTCAAATGCATTTGTGTGTAGAAACTTACCTTGTCCTAACTTAACATTTGTTTCATTTTAATTGTAAAAATCAGGCCAGGCGTGGTGTCTCACACCTGTAATCCCAGCACTATGAGAGGCTGAGGCAGGTGGAGGGTGGATCACCTGAGGTCAGGAGTTTGAGACCAACCTGGCCAACATGGTGAAACCCCATCTCTGCTAAAAATACAAAAATTAGCCAGGTGTGGTGGTGCATGCCTGTAGTCCCAGCTACTTGGGAGGCTGAGGCAGGAAAATCGCTTGAACCTGGGAGGTGGAGGTTGCAGTGAGCCGAGATCGCACCATCACACTCCAGCCTGGGCGACACAGCAAGACTCCGTCTCAAAAAAAAACAAAAGAAAAGATCCTCAAAGACCTAGAACCAAAAATACAATTTGACCCAGCAATCCCATTTCTAGGTATATACCCAAAGGATTATAAATCATTCTACTATAAAGATACATGCACATGTATGTTTATTTCAGCACTATTCACAATAACAAAGACTTGGAACCAACCCAAATGCTCATCAATGATAGATTTGATAAAGAAAATGTTGCACATATAAACCATGGAATACTATGCAGCCATAAAAAAGGATGAGTTCATGTCCTTTGCAGAGACATGGATGAAGCTGGAAACCATAATTCTCAGCAAACTAACATAGGAACAGAAAACCAAACACTACATGTTCTCACTCATAAGTGGGAGTTGAACAATGAGAACACATGGTCACAGGGAGGGAAACATCACACTCTGGGCCCTGTCGGGGGGTGGGGGGGAAGAGGAGGGAGAGCATTAGGAAAAATACCTAATGCATGTGGAGCTTAAAACCTAGATGACAGGTTGGTGGGTGCAGCAAACCATCATGGCACATGTATGCCTGTGTAACAAACCTGCACGTTCTGCACATGTATCCCAGAACTTAAAGTATAATAAATTTAAAAAAAAAATCACAGGCCTGGGTAGAGATTTAAGATGCTAATGAGGCATGGTACAGCCAATGGTCCACTCCAAATATGTGATGATGTCACCTGGAAGAGGCCCAGAGAAGAATAAAAACCAAGACTAGTTTGCTTCCAAGGAGCCAGCTGCAGGTTTTCCTCCTGTTGTCGTCTCCCCTTCTGCTCAAGCTGAAAGCCCCAATAAACTGCCTTGCTCAATCCCATCTTAGACTGTTGGTCAATTTCTATTTTCTGAGGGCCAATAACCCACTGACTAGTAACAAATGATTAACGTTGGTTATTTCATTTATAATAAGAACAATAAGTGTTTGTATATATAAAACATATTTGTCTATTCTTATTTTCTGCAATGAACTGGTATTTTTATGTATATTTTTTTAAAGATTTATACATCAAATTAGAAGAACTGTCAATTTTACTCTCCACCCACCATTGGAACAGTCTGTTGAGAAATAACTGCAGTAATAGACTGTACGTACACGGACAATTAAACAATAATATCACATAAGCACATAGTTTAAATTTTTTTTTCTAGACTGTTTCCTACATCCTAGGCTTTTGAAAACTTCATATGTGATAAATTGTGTAATTTTCTTAGCACGCTACTTTACTTTGAATTTATAGACAGTTGCAGAGTAAACAGTAGTATCTACAAAACTTACATATAAAGGAACAAATGCCAGATCAAAATTACCATCTGAGTTTCTCGGTTATCTCCTAGGCTGCAACTGATAGACTCAGGTAGCATACAACTAAAAATAAGAGACTGACACTTTTTATAGTAGTGCTACCCAACAGAAAAACAATATAAGCCAAAGGTTTAATTTTATCTTTTCTATTAGCCATATAAAAAGGAGAAACAGGTGAAATTAATTGTAATTTTTTTAACACAATATATCCAGAACATATCATTTTAAAATATAGTCACCATAACAAGTATTAGAAGTTATTTTACTTTTTTTCTAATTAAATTTTTGAAATCCAGTATGCATTTTATACTTATAACACATCTCAATTCAGACTAGTCACATTTCAAGTGCTCAGTAACCACTTGTGGCTAGCTGCTACCATATTGGACAACTCAACTCTACATTATTTTAAACAAAATTGTAAAGTAGTGTCTTCCCTTAGTATTGAAAGCATTACATATTTCCTCAATGATCCTAGGGCAAACTACCTTCAAAGCCTTTTATCTATAATTTGTTCCAGTCTTATCTATACTCATTATTTCTTACTTCTTTTTAAAGTAGGCCACTGAGGGGCTGGGAGCGGTGGCTCACACCTGTAACCCCAGCACTTTGGGAGGCCAAGGCAGGCTGATCACTTGAGGTCAGGAGTTCGAGACTAGCCTGGCCAACATTGTGAAACCCTCTCTCTACTAAAAATACAAAAAAATTAGCTGGATGTGGTGGCAGGTCCCTATAATCCCAGCTACTCAGGAAGTTGAGGCAGGAGAATCACTTGAACCCAGGAGGTTGAGGTTGCAGTGAGCTGAGACTGTGCCACTACACTCCAGCCTTCGGACAGAGTAAGACCCTGTCTCAATAAAAATAAAAATAAAATAAAATAAAATGAAAGTGAGGAAATGCAAAATTATAAAAAAAATAAAATAAAATGAAGTAGGCCACTGAGTCCAGCCACGTCATTTTTCTCAGTTTCTTGCAAATATAAGCCTTCTAATCAACCTGCCAAAATCATTTCTGTCCTTCAAGGACCAACACAAGCTTCACCACATATAACAATGTGTTACTGATTATTCCATAAGCCCTGTAGCATGCAATGTCTACATAATTACTTTTTATATTTTTATTTTTTAATTATTATTTTATTTATTTATTTATTTATTTTTGAGATGGAGTTTCGCACTGTCACCCAGGCTGGAGTGCAGTGGCGCGATCTCAGCTCACTGCAAGCTCTGCCTCCCGGGTTCACGCCATCCTCCTGCCTCGGCCTCCCGAGTAGCTGAGACTACAGGTGCCCCCCACCATGCCTGGCTAATGTTTTTGTATTTTAGTAGAGATGGGGTTTCACCGTGTTAGCCAGGATGGTCTCAATCTCCTGACCTCGTTATCCGCCCACCTCGGCCTCCCAAAGTGCTGGGATTACAGGCATGAGCCACCGTGCCCAGCCTACTTTTTATTTTTAATTGTAGGCTCTACTGACTTTTTTTTTTTTTTTTGAGACAGTCTCACTCTGTTGCCCATGCTGGAGTGCAGTGGCACAACCTCGTCTCACCATGGTCTCAACCTCCCAGGCTCAAGCAATCCTCCCACCTCAGCCTCCCAACTAACTGGGAGAACAGGCATACATTACCACACCTGGATAACTTTTTAATTTTTTGTAGAGATGGGGTCTCACTATATTTCCCAGGCTGGTTTCAAAGTCCTGGCCTTAAGTGAGCCTCTTGCCTCAGCCTTCCAAAGCACTTGGAGGGATTACAGGTCTGAGCCACTGCTCCCAGCCTCTACTGACTTATTACAATTATTGTATCTTTAATTGAATTCTAAGGTTCCTGAGAATAAAGACCCTATTTTATACTTTCTACTTTCCTTGTCTGCCCCCAATGTTATCTAACACTTTGAACTTATTAAATTAAAATACTTTATATGTTTCTCCTATCATTTTTAATTTATCGTCTGTCTCAAAAGCGTGATCCAGGATGATTGAACTTGCTTTAAATAACGATAAATGCAAAAGAAAGGAAGAACTTTCTAATAATCAGACAGCTGTTGAAAGAAGAAATGGGTTGGCTTCTTATGTCATAAGAATTTCATTATTGAAAGTATTCATGGAGATGGTTAGCCACTTGTTTGGAATATGATAAGGAAAATTCCTAAACCAAGTAGATAGTCAGATTTATAAGTACCATTTTGATTTTAAGATTCTGTACACAGGAAAGGTAATATGTGAAAATCCAAATGCATGATGCCAGTGTTATTTCAGGATCCATCAGTCTGCAATACAGAATGCTGGTTAAATAAATAATTGAATAGTAACTTAAAAGCTTGATTAGATTCCATTTAACCACAAATATAAAGTTAAATTTGAAAAGGTTGGTTTACAATTCTATCAAAAAGTAAGTATAAATCTAATCAGCTGTGCAAAAAATGCTTAGGTTATAAGGCAAGATGCTTGCTGGGCTATTCTTGGGTTTGTTTGTTGCTGCTGCTGCTGTTGCTATTGCTGTTAGCAGCAGATCTCTAGCTTCTGATGACTTAGATTTCTAAGTGGATTGTTTACTAGGTGAGATAGTTGAGAAAGCCTAGCTCCCAAACCCATTCCAGCTTCAAGTGATTTCCCCCTCTCTGCATTGTTATGAATTAAAGAATATACAAGGCAGGCAGAGTTAGTAAGCCATCAGTACTCTAGATGGCCAATATTGATCAGCATTGATTTGCCCCTGACAGCATGTCAGATAGGGACACCTTCTCCTTAAGTATCCAGTGTACAGCTTAACAGTTGAGCAGCTTCTGACCTCTAATTGGCTGGAAATTTCAGAGTCAGAATGATCTAAAGCAATTAAGAAGTTCAGAATTGGTTAACTCAGTAAATAAGTATTAAATTGGCTCTTATTCCATACTTAAAAAATGAGAGAAAGTAGTATCATACATATGTAGCTAATACATATGTGTGTCTATTTTTTTTTTTTTTTGTAATTGAGTTCTGATGTTATTCCAAAGCATAATTGAGAAGGTTAACATTCCAAGTTGAATTGCCTCATAGTTGACAGTGCCTGTGGGGAGCCAATCCATTCTCATCCAATCCAGCACTGCTTTTATAGTGGCAACACACCTCACAAAGAAATAAAATTTCTGGGTAGATGACCTAAACTAGCCCTTGTTTAAGACTTATGCTTGCAGTATTTAAATAGTTTATCTGAAATTCATGCAGCTCTAACCTAAAAGTTACTTTGAAGGGAGATGCAATTTCCTTTAAATGGCAGAAGGCAGCAACGGTGACTACTTCACTAATGGGCACCTTCTGCAAGACAGCATGTTAATTCTGTAAGTCTGGGTAGAGGTCCAATAGCTCAGCTGCTCATAGATTATGGAAACAAACAAATGAACAAAATATTCCACAATGTAGGAAGTCCCATTTTGCTCTGAAAGCAGAAACACCTAGGTTCCAACTATGAGCTTGCTTCAAGCTAGCCTTACTCCTTGCTAACTCACTTAACCTCTGTGAAATTCAGTACCATCCTGAGTGAAATAAGATTAAGCCACCCATTTGGGCAAGTGACTAAAGAGGGAAGTAATTGAAAGAACAGTTAGCAAATGATAGGTCACCAGCAGAAGTTAATTGACTCCTTGCCACTGAATGACAGAGGAGTTGTATTGCCAGAGAATTATCAATAGGCGCAAAAGTGAAGTCCCAGGATAGATCAAGATGGAAACCTGAGGCTTGCTTGAGATTTGAAGGACTAGATCCAAATCAATAACAGGGACTAAGTTGGGTCAGAAAAGAGTCTGCCTGAGTAAGACTTTCATCAGGGACTCTAACAATCATTATCAAACTAAGAGAAGAGCCAGGGACTAGAGGAATGGCTAAATCCAGAGAAAAGTCAATCAGCCACAGAGATGACAGCCCAGAAGAAGAAAGGAGCTAATGACTCCCTGAGGTCAAAAAGGACTTCCCATCCAGGATTCAAGAGTCCATGTTACAGTGATCCTAGAGACTCACAAGAATCCTGAAAACAAAAATACAAAAAAAGAACAACAACAAAACGATCAAAGACAAAAGAGCAAAATTCAGGTATTAAAAAACAAAAAGAATGTTCATGAGCTTCATGAAAAAGAGACCTTATCATGCTACCAAGTTTTGGTAGCAACTCAGAGGGTTAAACAAAATTACATTAAGAAAAGCTATTTCACAGTTTACAGTTCATATTTTAAGACCATATAAATTGAAGCAGAGTCAACCTATGCCAGCACATTCTAAAAAATATACTTGTTGACTATGTGCAGTTGGAATAGATGGTTTTAAAATGTTAAAGCTATCAGCAAACATTTATTAAAGGCTTACTATGAACAAGGCATTGGGCTCTCTAAATGAAATCCAGGCATAGGTAACTTCTACTCTCTTTGACCACATGCCTATCAATTTAATGATAAGGCCAGTCATTTTGAGGAAAACTAATTGTATTGCGAGAAATTCAATATAATTAAAAAAATCATCTTAGTTGCTCCTGATTTGTACCGACCGAGTGTCTTCATTTTTAACAATTTTGGGGACAGTGCTGCTATACTTGATTTTGTCAGATAAATATAAATAGACCATCTAAAATAATTTATGCTTAGATTCAAAAAAAGCAATTAAACAGTAATTGACATCTTATAATCTAAACGAATTGGTATCTAGAAATTCTCATCTTTTCAAAACAGGTAGGCTAAGGATCAAAATTTCATGATATGTAGATTTTAATCATTATATGATTTCTTCCTAAATATTTTCTTCCATAAAATTGATTAGATAAGCAATGAACTAAAAAAAAGTGCCATTTTTCCAAAAGCTTACTAAAAGAACACAACTATCTATCATTTGTAATATAATTAGACACCAAGATTAAGAATTGTACACTGCCAAGTACTTAGTTACTACTAGACTCAGTAGCACTAGTTTATTTTACTCAAGTAACAGACACATGGCCCTAATTTAGCTAGTTTATGAGACATCTTAACATTAGTGTTTTACAGCAATACATAATGACCATGTTATAGACAGTAAAATCAACATTGCAAAAAGTTCTTAGGCTATGCTTAGAACAGTTGCAGCTACAATTGTGTAGGAACTACTCAATATTATATATATACATATATGAATACATATTTTAAGGGTACTGTTTTCTGCCTATGAGAATAATCTTCATTGTCTGTTACTCTCACTCTACGAAGTATACAGTTTTCAAACAGACTTTTAACTTTTAAAGGAACAATATTCTTCCATTTCGAACCCCTCCTTCACAGAATTAAATAGCAAAACAAATGAAACAAAACAAACGGTAACGACAAAAACAGGCCTGGTATGGTTAAATGTTCATCTGCATCTATTTAACCGTAGAAACAAAGACCACATTTGACACATATGGTTGGTAGAAGACACACTCACTAGACTAAAAGCCAAGAGCTCTTGTTCTTATACATTTCTTGTCATTAAATAACAGATTTGAAGAAATGGCCTTCCTACATGACCCTCTCCATCCCTAAAATTCTATGTAAGTTTTACCATTATAAATTCAATTCAGCAAAATGTGTAGAATAGCTGCTATCTCTAATATTTGGAGATTAGAGGAGACAAAAGATAAACTCCTGCCTCATAAGGCAGATAGTCTTGCACAGGTTTTCATACTTCAGCAGTTTTAGGAAACATGCAAGTTTTCAAAACACTGATGTAAAGAATGAGAAAAGCAACAAATAATGATCCAACATAGAAGAGAAGTGACACAAGTACTAAAAGGCATAATGAGGTTATATTATGGAGCTGCATTTAAGAAGGAAGTAGCATATATGAGATGGACATAAACAATGATGGAAAGGGGGCAAATGATATGGAAAATGCAACAGTAGCTGAGGAAACAGCATTCCAAACTGTGTGGGAGTTAATGCAGAATAAAACAGACACTGGCAATACTAAGGAAAGGTTTAAAGATCAGTAAAAAAAGTTTGTACTAGAGTTGAAAAATAGTCACCAGCATGCACGTAAAAGATAAAATGTATATGCACTGACTATTTGTTTATTATCCAAGTATTTGTTTATCATCCATTCAGATATTTATTACTTTACGCAACAAATACTTATGTAGGCCAGGCACTAGATTAGGTACTAAGAATATAATGATGAGCTAAAAAAAAAAAGCTTTAAAGGTAATTTTGGCCTTTTGGAAACACATGGAGTTCAAGGACCTTAAAAATATTAAACTACAAGATCTGCTGGCTACAATGAAGGAAAGCATAGGTTTCTGTGAAACTGTATACCTAGGTAGGGTTGCCAGATTTAGCAAATAAAATACAGAATGCACAGTGAAATTTGAATTTTAGATAGACAATAAAATAATTAGTATAGAGTATGTTCCATGCAACGTATAAAATATACTTCTGCCATAAAATTATTTGTTGCTTATCCAAAGTTCAGTTGTACCCCATCAGGTGCAATGGCTCACACTTGTAATCCCAGCACTTTAGGAGGCAGATGCAGGCGGATAACTTGAGGCCAGGAGTTCAAGACCTGCCTGGCCAACATGGTGAAATCCGTCTCTACTAAAAATACAAAAATTAGATGGTGCGTGCCTTTAATCCCAGCAACTCAAGAGGCTGAGGCATGATAATCGCTTGAACCTGGGAGGCAGAGGTTGCAGTGAGCCGAGATCGCACCACTGCACTCCAGCCTGGGCAACAGAGGGAGACTCCATTTCACACAAAGAAACAAACAAACAAACAAACAGTTCGGTTGAACTGAATGCCCTGTATTTTTTTCTGGCAATCCTACATCTGAGGGGCCTTGACTTAGTCTGAGGGCTTAGAGAAAGTGTCCCTGAGGAAGTGAATTAATCTGAACTCTGAGTAAGGTTGGGGAGGGAAAAGGACATGGAGAGAAGTGAATAGATTAACTTCAGATCTTAATCTAAAATTCTCTCTTTAATTGTCCATTATGGGACAGAGTGGAAGATAAAAACTTCAGCACCAGAAAAGGGGCACTGATGAAAAATAGTCACCTCAAGACCTCAAATATGTCATCATTTATATTTATCTTTGAAATTTTCTTTGAACTTTTTTTTTTGCTTATGAAATAAAAGCAGCAATTGAAAATATTCTTTTAGAAAGGGGTTGTTAATGGGTATCACAAGTTCACAAATACAACTTACGTATATAGTTTTTCTTCCAATGCTTTTAAGCACATGTTATAATCCCTTGTGATCTTTATGTTTCGTGGGAGGAAGAAAATGCTTTTGAAAGAGACCCTTAGAAGTGCCATTCAGTGCAAAGCCTCATAGTCTGTGTTAGCTTTCTTCCTGGTCCTTTGACTCTAAGCTATGGAGATTCTTCTCACAGATCTTGATGCACTACTTCATGCGTTTTGGACTGTTTTGCCTGAAACAGTAAACGCCTAATAGCAAAAGTACATTTTTTCCCACAGTGTACCCAGCAGCTAGCTCATTGCCTGGCACCTACATCTTAAATCATTAGTAAATGTTTTAAATGAATAGTAAAATTATAAGCTGTGTCTCATAGTAAAATGTACACATGTCCGTAAAGGCAAAATTGTTATAAACATATTCAGTCTATGTTCATCTCTGTTATGTCTGTTAGTGATTTCTTATGTCCACATGCAAAAAATACTCAAATTGATAAATATATTATTGGGGTGCAAGTCAGTTGCGGGACCACACCTGCAGAATTATGGCTAATATTTGGAGATTAACAAACAAATGACAGGCCAGGCACAGTGGCTCATGCCTGTAATACCAGCACTTTGGGGGTCCGAGGTGGGTGGATCACCTGAGGTCAGGAGTTCGAGACCAGCCTGGCCAATATGATGAAACCCTGTCTCTACTAAAAATACAAAAGTTAGCTGGGCATGGTGGCATGAGCCTGTAATCCCAGCTACTCAGGAGGCTGAGACAGGAGAATCGCTTAAACCTGGGAGGCAGAGGTTGCAGCGAGCCAAGATCACGCCATTGCACTCCAGCCTGGGCGACAGAGCAAGACTCTGTCACAGGAAAAAAAAAAAAAAAAAAGACTATTAGAGATACAGTTTTAATATATTTTTTAGAATCAAATTGTGTTAAGCCCACCAAATAGAGTGCTACAAGGCTGTTGAAAGTCATATAAACCTTATTAAATGCTGGAGATTGGCATCTGTCCTCTGAGGAGCAGTTTAATGCAATGAGAATTATAAATGATTCTTCCAGGGAAAATCTAGCAAAAGATGTTGGGAAAAATGTATTGAGAAGTCAAAACTGATGTTATTGTCTAATCAGTTTTAAGACTATAGAATATAGCAGCTGGAGCTGGCATCTTACATAGCAAAGAACTTGCTGAGGACAATTTTACCCTCCCTGTCCATTCACAGGTTGAAGATCTAACCCCCAAATGTGACTACATTTGGAGACAGGGCTTTGGGGAGGTAATTAAGGGTTAAATGCCATAATGGAGGGGTCATAATCTGATAGGTTTCATGGCCTTATAAGAAGAGGAAGAGAGAGTGATCTCTTTCCTTTCCAGTCACCAAGGGAAGGCTGTGTGAGCATCCAACGAGAAGGTGGCTGTCTATAAGCCAGGAATTGGGCCCTCACCAGCTCCTGGCCATGCTCGTGGCAGCCTGGTCTCAGACTTCCAGCTTCAGAACTGTAAGAAAATAAATTTCTGTTGTTTAAGCCACCTAGTTTATAGTATTTTGTTATAACAGTCTGAGCTGACTAAGACAGAACTGAAATAATAATAAAAAAAAACTTAAGCATTTTCTCATAGATGGCATACACTACAACCTGCATTTCCCAGTTCAGTACTCACTTCTGAAATGTCAACAATGTAGTGTATGTATGTTTCACAATCTTATCTTGTTAATTTCAAAGATTGTCTCATTTCCCAACTAATGGAAAGCAGGCACTTCTATGCAAGTTCATTAAAGCTTATTTGAAATAGCCACAGTCACTATCTATATAGATTAAGCAACAGTAAAATGTAGAAGAGTATTTTAACTTCATTTTCCTTTCTTCTCCCTATATCAATAAATTTGACATTGGACCAAAGGTAATCTGAAATAGTGAACTATAAACTTACGAGAATGTTCACAAAGAGTAATGGAAATTATAGTAGCATATGATTGGATGCTATTTTGAGAGTGTTACATATGTTTGGTTACCTGGATTGTAAAACTATATAATTGTAAGTTTATAAATCTGCATAAAGATACCTCAAATATATTTCAGCTATCTAGATAATAGCATGAAATAAAGTTTGTGAACTTCAAAAGATTTGTAGCATTATTTTCATGACCCGTATTTTGGCTTAAACATCCAATTAAGACAGAAAAACAATTTTAAAGAAATAATCATTTCAAAGAAACATTTGTGGAGAGTCCTCTTTTTTAATTATTGAAATGCTATCTTTCAGATTCACTCATATACCCTACCAAAAGGAAGAAGTTTTAACTATATAAACATTTTAGTACAATAGAATTTCTGTAGAAAATACAATTATTGCCTTAGGATGCCTTTTAAAAGATAAAACCTAAATACCAACCTATTAAAAATGTCATGAAAAATTTAATTATCATACAGACTGAAATATTCCCTTCAGCACCATTAGTATATTTTCTTCCCATAGGCAGGCCTACACAACAGGCCAAACTATAAAAATACTGTTGCCCAGTGACCATGGAATCAGAAATGAGAACTTGGTTAGTTACGTAGAACATGTAATGGCACCTATCCAAACATATCAGTCATTTCCACCATTACAAGCATAATGGTCAGTCTTGAGACTTGGTCTGCTTCTCCCTTGGATAAGACTGGATGGGCACTGAAATATTTGGAAGCTTGTAGATTTTTCCCAGGTGAATAATCATCTTCTGTAGAGACAAAATATATACTTGGTAATCATATTATAGGACTTGAACTAGTAGAAAGACAATAGTACTGAAGGTCAGGAGTTCTGGCTCTACTGCTATACAGACCTCAGGCAAGTAAGGGCCTCACTTGGCCTCAAGTTTATAATCTGTACAATTAATAGGGATAGACTAAATGATTGCTAAGGTGCTTCATGGCCTTAGTGCTTTAAAATTCAAAGAATTCTCGCTTGAACCTGGGAGGCGGAGGTTGCAGTGAGCCAAGATTGCGCCACTGCACTCCAGGCTGGGTGACAAAGTGAGACCCTAACCCTCGTGCCCCTCTCCAAAAAAAAGTCCTAAGTACTAAAAGTCTATAAACTGTATTTTGTAAAATGGTTAAAATGGTGAATCTTATGTGATTTTTACCTAAATAAAAATAAATAAATCAGCTAACCTCAAAACAAAGAAAAAAAATCAAAGAATTCTGTGCTGAAAAGTGAAATGTTGCTAACCACCTGGTGTCAGTAATCTATTGAAGTTTTCTGCCAACTGCCATTAATAGGCCTTAGAAGACCTACACAATCAAAACCTTGGATTTATTGGGAATTATCTCACTTTCCCTTGAGTTCACATGTCCTGCATTGTCTTTCCATCTGCGCCTTCAGACATCCCAGCAGGGTGACTTGTGATTTGGGCAGAACATGAGCAAATGGTTCTCTGTGGGAAGCATGCTGAATTCTGCCTCTGATCAGTGAGTGGCTTCTTCAATAGGCTAACCTGAGAGTGCCCAGAGTCAAATTCAGAAACAGTGACAAGCACAGCTTGTTCCTTAGCAAAAGAAGTGCACCTTTTTTCACACTAGGCAAGCACCTGCACATTTTCAGTCTGAGTTGATAATAACTGTGAACTGCAGGTGATATGGCTGATGTTGAATTCTTTCTGTGTAAATCTGAACCACTTTAGAGCAATGCAAAATAATTTATTCTTTCCTCTCCTCTCCACTCTTGGAAATGCTGACTTCTCTGACAAGCAAAAACCCCCAGTGACTCCAGGTAAAATAACAGCACACAAAGATTTGTACCTGTAAGTTGCTGGCTGTGATTGGTGTGAATCAAGAATGACAGGAGAGTAATAGTCCTTTTGAAATAAGGTGGTAGCCAGAAAAGCCACCCTTTAGGTTCTAGTGAAAGTCCAGAGGATTAAACAGCAAAGCGTTGGCATACTTGGAAAATAATATTTTGTTGCCGTACATGGAGGGGAACTGCTTTGGGAGAGAGGAAGAGGAATGACTGCCAATGTGCTGGCCCCTTTCATGATGGAGCAAATGCTTTCTTTTTTCTTTTCTTTTCTTTTTTTTTCTTTCTTTTCTTTTTTTCTTTTTCTTTTTATTTTTTTTGAGACAGGGTCTTACTCTGTCACCCAGGCTACAGTGCGGTGACCTCATATCTGCTCATTGCAACCTCCACCTCCTGGGTTCAAGTGATTCTCCTGCCTCAGTCTCCCAAATAGCTGGGACTACAGGCACCCACCATGATGCCTGGCTAATTTTTTGTATTTTTAGTAGAGACAGGGTTTCACCACACTGGCCAGGCTGGTCTCGAACTCCTGACCTAAAGCAATCTGCCCGCCTCGGCCTCCCAAAGTGCTAAGGTTACAGGCCTGAGCTACCGTGCCCAGATGCAAAGGCTTCCAAATAGGAGGGAGTATAGGGAGAGCTTGAGTCCAAGGAGGAACTCTAAGATAGAGGTGAGAATGGCCCACAGGTAAGGGAAACTTCAGGTTGGTATGCAGGTAGCAGGGAGTTTTTTTTTTTTTTAAATGTAAACTAATTTGACGACCAAATTGCTTACAACATCTACACAGGTTGCTTGTTCGGTTTGGCTTTGTACAAAGTACCAAATAATGGCACACAGTGTGTATTAATCTAAATAGTCTAAATAGGAAGAAGATGCTTTTAAAGATTGTATTCAGGCCATGCATTGTAGCTCATGCCTGTAATGCCAGCACTTTGGGAGGCTAAGGCGGGAGATCACCTAAAGCCAGTAGTTCTAGACGAGCCTGGGCAACAAAGCAAGACCTAGTTTCTATTTAAAAAAGCAAACAAAAAACTAGACAGACAAGATGGCATGTGCCTGTAGTCGAGCAACTTGGGAGGCTAAGGCAGTAGGATCAATTGAGCCCAGGAGTTCGATGCTGCAGTGAGCTATGACTGCGCCATTGCACTCCAGCCTGGGTGACATCATGAGACCCCTGTGTATTTTTTTGTATTTTTAGTAGAGACAGGGTTTCACCCTGTTGGCCAGGCTGGTCTCAAACTCCTGACCTCAAATGATCCACCTGCCTCAGCCTCCCAGAGTGCTGGGATTATAGGCGTGAGACACCACGCCCAGCCTGGACTTTTTTTAGCTAGGAAAAAATGACAATATCATTAACTATCACTTGCATTCCTTCCTTCTCATGCATTTATTCAAAATATCTTACTACCATTAAAACTACTATATGTAAGCTTAGAGTATGGTAACATTTACCTAAGACACACAAATGAATCACATATATATGTATATGTACATATATTTGCTATTCATAGGAAGAGTTCCAGAGATAATTTAATGTATCTAAAAATGCATATAATATGCTATGAAGTACTAATGTCATTTCAGTCTTTTGTATTTAAAGTGTACTAATTGGAATATTGACTTTTAAAAACATCATGGGTAGAAGGTACACAAGAAATCTTTGCGCCTTCCTGTCAATTGTGCTGTGAACCTAAAACTGCTCTAAAAAAATGAAGTCTTCAGAAAAAAATAAGAAAGAAAAACATCATGGCACCTAATGAGCTAGTTTGATAAGTTAATAAATGTATAATCACTGTAAAAAAAAACTTTTCCCAATGATTGGCCAGAATATATCAACAATTATTTGACTCTTAAAAACCATATATTTAAAATAAGGTGATGGTAGGATAAAGATGGTGAGACAAAAAATATATAACTTTTTACTTTCTATTTTTAATCTTTAGAATGTTTTGATAATAGTTGAGAAAAGGTATTCAATTTTCATTAAACATACAATTATTGTATGAAGATCTATGTTAATCAGGTCTATATTAAGATGGACTAATAAAAGTCTACTTTACTATAAACATACTGTTCCCTCAACAACCAGGCGTTGAAAAAATAAAATTTCAAAATCTCTTAGCTGGACTGAGGTTTGAGCTCATTTCCAATTATTTCCCACTTCGATGGTAGCTGTTTTGCAGATTAATCTTTCATGAAGCTCTCTACAGGTCGATGTGCTTGTATTAGCCACCAAACATGTTCAGCTGGGAGACAACTGGAAGACCCATGATTAATGTGATTTGGTATTTTTCCTAACATTTACTGTACACATCAATAATGGTTAATGCAACAGCTTCCAGTAAGCAGCAGCCTTAAAAGCTCAAAAATCTCCAGTCATAAAAAACAAAAACGCATCTATTCTTCTTCCACACATAAGAAATGTCTTTCTCATACAAACAAGAAAATTATACATGAAATACTAACATAAAAAACTATCACTATTCTTATGTAAGGGTAGGACAAAGCTATACTGAGAGAAAATTTTGGTAAAATAGGGTAGGAGACTGAGAGAAAGTGGTCCTGGGCCCTAGTCTTCATTCTGAAACTGGCTGTGGTTCCTCTCTTCAGCCTCTAACTTGAAACAAGGTTTCCTCAGCTAAAAAGCTGGACTGGTCCACAGGCCTATCACTATAGCACAGGGCTTAGAGTTGGGACTCTGGTTGCAGCCTCCATGGATTCAAGTCCCAGCTCTTCTGCTTTGGTGCTTCATGACCCGGGGCACGTTTCTCAACATTCAGTGCTCTGGTCTCCTTATCAAGAAAATGAGGATAACAGCAGTACTGTACCCACTTCACAGTGGTAGGGAGAATTAAATGAAAATCTATGGCCTGCCCATAGTAAAAGATCAATAAATGTTAGTTTATTACTACTACTATTTTAAGTATATGAATAGTATTACTATAACCATTATTTTATTCTGAAAAAGAATGTTGGTGGTTTACAGTACAAGAAATTTAAAAGGAAAGAAATCGAGAAGAAAGGACAATAAAGGTATTAAGAACAAGCTACAATTATAAAAGTACTGAATTAGTTAATTAAAACAACCTGTTGAAGTCGCTTTTAGCCAATCAAAAGAACAAGGGGAGTTAAAAATCATTTCAATTTGTATTCAGCCGAATATTTAAAACAATCAGAAATCAGAAATCCCAAGTCTTTCTGTTACATTTGCTAAACAGTAAAAGAATAATCTTGGGTAATTCAAGATTTGAATGTGTAATACCAAATAGGCAACTAAATATATATATATATATATATATATATATTTAGTTTATATTATATATATATATATTTAGTTTATATTATATATATAATAAATTATATATATATAAATATATATATATTTAGTTTATATTATATATATATATAAAATAAATTAAACAAGTGGGGAGAAATAAAGGTAGAGAAAGAGGAAGAGAGAAAAATGATTTTTGGAGGTGGGGCAACAGTCTAAACAGCAAATATATCCCACCTTGGGCTACTCGGGAAGATGTTACTGAGGCAACAGACTTCTGCCAGTTGCCTTGTCGCTGGCTTCCTCCTGGGGATTATCACATGTGATTATTTCCAAGCTGCCACTTTCATCTCCTGGAGCAGAGGCCCAGCCTTTGACTAACACTGACACTCAAAGCTTGGTTTTCTTTCCTGAAGAAACTGAAAGGGCAGCACTGCACACATGGGCACCCACCCCTAGAAAGCATATCTGGGTTCCTGCCTATTCTATCCCCAGGGGACTCTGTGCACATCTGTCTGTGGGAGGCCAAAGACTGACTTTTGTTGGCTGAGCCCTGTTACCGCGTCTGTCCTTAAATTCCTTTCAAATAGGCCCGGTATTGAAAGCTAATTTGCTTCGTAGTTAGAACTTATTACAAATGTCTGTGTGTGCCGTGGTTTTCCCGGAGAAAGAGCTGCCGGTCTCTGTGTATCCTTCCTTTCTCTCTCTCTCTCTCTTTTTAATTTTACTTTAAGTTCTGGGATACATGTGCTGAACGTGCAGGTTTGTTACATAGGTATACATGTGCCATGGTGGTTTGCTACACCTATCAACCTGTCATCTAGGTTTTAAGCCCTGCATGCATTAGGTATTTGTCCTAATGCTCTCTCTCCCCTTGCCCCCCACCTCCTGAAGGGCAGCCAACTTTTCCTGGTCTAGGCCAATCCCAGATTCCTCATTCTGTGCTTTTTTCCTGGGTGACTTTGACCATACTCATGGCTTCATTTACCACATAAAGAGTTGATTTCTCCCAAATTTCTCCTGACCTCCCGGCCAACATACATAAACCCATACTACACCTTTACACCTGGAATTAGTTTCCCCACTCCTCTTCATTCTTACCTTAAATTCAACATGACCCAGGTAAAACTCAGCACCCACCACAACTCCACATTACCTTTTCTTGCAGATTCCTCAGCAAATGATGTGAGACAACCAGTTCCGGCAACTTGAGCATGGCTGAGGGTCTTACCTCTTTCATACCACCTGCATCCAACTAGTCACTAAACTTATTGATTCTGTTTAATAATCTCTCTGGTCTTCTCCCTCTTTGTTAGTCTCTCAACAAGTGTCTTAACTCATGTTCTTATCTCACGGCTATTAAGCGGCAAACCAAATAGTTGGTTTTGGAGTATCAAGATTCTCCTTATTATATCTTCTACATTATTACTACAGTAAATCTTCCGAAAATGTAATGTCTTCATGGAAGCAGGTCCTCAGATATTAAGTAATTTGCCCAAGGCCATATAATCACTAAGACATTCAGGTTCAATGTAAATCTTACCCTCTTGCACTAACTCATGATTGCTGAATAAAATACACCTTCTGAGTTCCAGTTAACAATCTCAGCAGCAGCCTCTTTCCCAGATGGTTAGGGGAGACCACACTAGAAGTAAGAATGTGTCTCTTCCCTAAGGAAGACAGTTATCTCACAAGATCACAATAATGCCACAGACAAATGCTTTGGATGGATGTGTAAGACAGAAGCGAAAACTTCTACCTATGTGTTTACTAAAGCCAGTCTACTTATAACTTTAGGGAGACATGTTTATTAAACACAGAACACTAATCTTTGACAACCAGTTACAGCTCCCTAAGAGTTTCTTCCTGCCTCCAGTTGGTGATCTGCCACTGGGAAATAGAATTTTGTTCCAAATACCAATTTAAAACAAGTTTTATAAAGATTAGCTACAAAGTTAGCACTGAAAACTCTGGGGTTACAGGTAAATGCGAAGAACCTTATTTTTTACCGTAGGATCCCTAGGATAATAAAGGTATTATTCTTCTGTGTAGATTTGCTTCCCAAAACTCCTAGCCATATTCCCCTCCTAATGTCAAACCTAACAGCATTTACTGTTTGTCATTCATTTTGGTACTAAATTATATATTACCTTGCATCACTATCTAGCTTTGCCTTGTGGACGTCTTAAAACTTCTCAGGTTATTATAACCTCTTTGAATTTTTATATCCCCAACAATGCCCATCTTCATGGGTATTGTTCCTAACAGCCTCCCAGAAAAATAATTTTTGAATTAATTTAACTAGAAATTGAATTGATTTAACTGGCTAGAAGAAGAAAACAGGGGAGATTTTAGTAAAGAGAAGGAATGCAGAAAATGGACCCCCAAAATTAAATATAACCTATAATAAAAGCCTGTCAATAACATTATTCTGAATAATTAATGTGAACTGTAGCACTCCTAGACTTGATAATGCAGAGCTCCCAATAGTAATGAATTGAAACTGAGTGCATGATACATATCTTCAAATTACAGCAATTGAAATATGCATTAAAATGTATATTTTACACCCAGAATGACTCAGTAATTTATTCCAGTAGTTATTTCAATGTCTTTTTTTTTTCACCAAAGGTTTCATTCAGATCCACCTCCCATTGTTTCCCAACATTAAGTTTAAAAAATAATAGAATGAAATCACCTCGATTCAGAAACTTAGCATTGTATGATGGTGTCCCCACACTTGGCTCCTTCTCTGCGTCTGTCCATCATTTATAACATGCAAGCAAGGAAGAGAAAGAATCTTTAAAAACTCTCAAATCTCTTGATGCTTTTTTTTTTTTCAGTTTTGGGACAAATCAATGGGCAATCAATGCAGGTTGGCAAATATGAAGATAAAGTATTCTATTTTTTGAGCCTCAGAGCGAAATTCCACCTACCTCAGCTAAAGGAATGGAGATAGCTGTGTAGAATTTACTATCTTGATTCTGAAAAATATTATGGCAGCAAGATGTCACTCTACTGAATCAGTTCTCAAAGTGTGGTCCAGGGAACACTTAGAGTCCTTGAGACATTTTAAAGGAGTCCATGGAGTAAAAATGATTTTCATAACAACCATAAAACATTATTTGCCATTTATACTAATATTTTCTCAGAAGTATAGGGTAGAGTTTTACAGAAGCTACACGATATCACAACAGAAAGAATGAAAAGTAGATATGAGTATCCAGCTGTCTTCTATCAATCCAGATATTAAAGTGATTTGCAAAGCATAAAATAATGTCATTCATCACAAAATTTGTTTGAGAAAAAATATTTTCAATGAAAAATATTAAGTTGACATGTAATAGTTTTGTTATTTAAAAAATCTTATAATTATCATAAAAATTTGTAACTTCCCCTATAATAGCAATAGCTATAACCCACATTAAAAGCTGTGTGGGGGCCAGTTGCTATGTTTCCAGCCTGTCATCCCAGCACTTTGGGAGGCCAGGGCAGAGGGACTGCTTGACCTCAGGAGGAATTTGAGACAAGCCTGGGCAACATGGAAAAAACCTGTCTCTACAAAAAATACAAAAGTTAGTTGGGTGTGGTGGTGTGTCAGTAGTCCCAGCTACCCAGGATGCTGAGATGGGGGGATCACTTGAGCCCAGGAGGCCTAGGCTGCAGTGAGCCAAGGTCATACCACTGCACTCCAGCCTGGGCGATTGAGTGAAACTCTATCACAAAAGAAAAAAATATCTGTGTGGGTATACAATCATATTTAAGACTGTAAAGTGCTCTGGAGACCAAAAATATTGAAAATCTCTGTACTACTATTTTGTTTGTTTTGAGATAGGGTTTTGCTCCGTCACCCAGGCTGGAGTGCAGTTGCACTATAAAGTGATCCTTCCACCTCAGCCTCCTGAGTACCTGGGACTACAGGCATGCGCCACCACGCTTGGCTAATTTTTTATATTTTTAATAGAGACAGGGTTTCACCATGTTTCCAGGCTGGTCTCAAACTCCTGAACTCAAGTGATTTACCCACCTTGGACTCCCAAAGTGCTGTGATTACAGCCATGAGCCACCACGCCTGGCCTAGTGGTTTTTGGAATGGAAATCAAGCAATGACAAATGATTATCTTCTGTGACCATCCTTTGGGGTCCTTTTCCTCTTTTCCTTCTCTTTGCTGAGATCTCCCCTCCTTTCTTCTTCTAGCTGGTTAAATCAATTCAATTTCTAGTTATATTAATTCAAAAATTATTTTTCTGGGAGGCTGTTAGGAGCAATACCCATGAAGATGGGCATTGTTGGGGATATAAAAATTCAAAGAGGTTATAATAACCTGAGAAGTTTTAAGATGTCCACAAGGCAAAGTTAGATAGTGATGCAAGGTAATATATAACCTAGTATCAAGATGAATGACAAACAGTAAATACTGTTAGGTTTGACATTAGGAGGGAAATATAGCTAGGAGTTTTGGGAAGCAAATCTTCATAGGAGAATAATGTCCTTATTTATCCATTATCTGCCTATTTACCAAATGAATATATGATATTTCAAAAAACACACACAGAGCAATTAGGGAAAAAAAGACAATAAATTTAGGATGCATGGCAATTACGATGAGGCTAAAATAGAAAAATATATACTAAGATCCAGGACTGACTTTATAATGTGCAGAGCACAGAGCAAAATGAAAATGCAAGGTTCCTTGTTAAAAAATAAGTATTTCAGGACAGCAATATTAAACTAGGAGCATTAAACAAGTAACATGGCCCTTCTAAATGTAGAGCCCTATGTGCCTACATAGAATGCACATCTAGGAAGCCAGCTCTGCTAAAGTCTTTCATAGTTGCTTATTTTTGGTCCTAAATACAACTTGAAGCTAACTTAGAAGACAAAACAAAGAGAGGAAATATTATCAGTTTTACAATTCACAGCATTCACTATCAGGGAGTGCCATGAAAAATTATCAGAATCACATTAGAATAGAATTTTAACTTTAAAAGGGGGGATTGAAGTTTATTTCATCTAAACTGTTTCATTTCTCAGTCCAATAAATGGAGTCCCAGAGATGCTATGATTTGCCAAGGGACACAGATTGTGGTGAAGATCAAGGTGAAATTAGAGCCCAGTCAGCTCATTCTCACCAGAATATAGACTAATAGGAGGTCTTTCCTCCTCTCATAACCTATCTACCTCCCATTCCCTTCCATCCATGTAAAACAGCAAACAAAACAAATTAGCAAAACATTTTTTGAATGTTTAGAATTTGTCATATATTGTGCCACACATTTCATTCTTGCAACTGCTTCATGCAGGAAGAATTATTACTATGCCCATCTTAGAGAAAAAGAAACTTACAATTACATAACTTGCACCATGCCATACAAATAGAATTTGAACTCAGGTGATGTGACTTGCTCTTCTATTTCCAATCTTTCCTTCTGTTCTCCTAGACATGGATCCTACAAACGTCCCTTTTGAAGGACTAAACTGAGCGCACAAATTTAGAAAACAAAAAACTCTAGGTAATATCTATCTGGTACATCCTCTTCACTTTACAGTTAAAGACACTGAGGACTGTAAGAGGATATATAACTTGAGAAGATCACCAGCAAGAAACAGGCAACGTTTGACCAATACTCTTATTTTCATTTCCCCCAAATTTGCTGTGTATCAGAATAATCCTGGGAGCTTTTAAAAAATACAGAATTCAGCCGGGTGCAGTGACTCATGCCTGTAATCCCAGCACTTTGGGAGGTGGAGGTGGGCGTCAGGAGTTCGAGACCAGCCTGGCCAACATGGCAAAACCCTGTCTCTACTAAAACAAAAAACAAACAAACAAAAAAAAATTAGCCAGGCGTGGTGGCATGTGCCTGTAATCCCAGCTACTCAGGAGGCTGAGGCAGGAGAATCGCTTGAACCTGGGAGATGAAGGTTGCAGTGAGCCGAGATGGTGCCATTGCACTCCAGCCTGGGCAACAAGAGTGAAACTCCATCTCAGAAAATAATAATAATAATAATAATAATAATAATAATAATTAATAAATAAATAAATAAATAAATAAATAAATAAAAATATAGAGTCCTAGGCTCCCTACCAGACCAGAAGTCCAGATTTCTTGAGATCAGGGCAGGAACCAGAAACTTTTCTAATAGCTCTGTAGATGACTTGCACAAACCAGGCAAGCAACAGTCAATGAACTGCAGTGAGAGTCCCTGTCCGACAACATCCAGTCATTCCTTCGACACCAGTGAAACCTACCCCTTTATGTAATGGGAAATACAACAATGTGACTCCCTGCCATTTAACGTCTCTCAATTAGATTGAAAGCAATAAACCAGGCAACAACAAAATCAGTGCTTTAACTCTCTCCAATCTGTTTTGAGTAGATAATAGGCATTTTCAAGAAGGATGGGTTGAAAGAACAAGAAGAAGCAGAGACACGCTCTTTAGAATCATACCATGAACGGTAAGAAAGCGTTTGAGCTACATCAGTGTCTAGTGGGCATGTGAAGCAGTAGCTATATGGAAAAACAATTGGCAGGGGAAGAATGTGGGAGTGGGGGAAGATGAAAAGACCATAACTGATTTCTCAAGGTAGCCAGAAGGCTCCCAGACTTCTTTATTCAAATAGTAGTTCCTTTAGGTACACAGTGGTCAAATTTGTGGTGGTTTTTAGGCTGAAAGTGTACTTGATAATAAACTTCAAATATACCTGTTTGTAAATAATCTTTAAAAGTTGTTAATAATCTAGTTAATAATATGTAAGCTGAAGTATTGAAGGATGGTGAACTGATAGCTGCAATTTACTTTGAAATGTATCAAAAGTAAGATGGATTTATGGGCCAGGTGGTGTGGCTCACATCTGTAATCCCAGTACTTTGGAAAGCCAAGGTGAGAGGACTGCTTGAGGCCAGGAATTCAAGACCAGCCTGAGCAACATAATGAGACTCCTTCTCTACAAAAAAAAAAAAAAGTTAAAATTAGCCAGGTGTAGTAGTGGCGCACCTGTAGTCCTAGCTACTCAGAAGGCTGAGACAGGAGGACCGCTTGAATCCAGGAGGACCGCTTGAAACCAGGAGTTCAAGATTACAGTGAGCTATGAAGGCGCCACTGCACTCCAGCCTGGACAACAGAGGGGAGACCCTGTCTCTTAAAAAAAAAAAAAAAAAAGTAAGATGGATTTATGGATGAATAGGGTGATGGATAACTATGTGATAAAGAAAGTATAGTAAAATGTCAGTGGTAAAATCTAAATTGTGTGTATATGAGTATTCACTCTAAACTTCTCTCAACTTTGCTATATGTTTGAAATGTTTCATAATAAAGTATTGAGGGATGAATGTGTTTAATAAAAGTATCCAACTGGGCACAGTGGCTCACGCCTGTGATCCCAACACTTCGGGAGGCTGAAGTGGGAGGATTGTTTGAGCCCAGGAGTTCGAGACCAGTCTGGGCATCATATTGAGACAGCATCTCTATTACTTAAAAATAATAATGATAATAAATAATTTTTTTAAAGTAGCCAATGCCAGATGACACTATGTCCACCACTTGAGAACTTTTGAAACAAAATCAAGAAATAACTCCCAGTCATGGTGACTCACGGCAGTAATCTCAGCACTTCAGGAAGCCAAGGCAGGTGGATCGTTCGAGCCCAGGAGTTGGAGACCTGCCTGGCCAACATGGCAAAACCCCATAGCTACAAAAATACAAAAATTAGCTGGGCATAGTGGCACACACCTGTGGTCCTAGTTACTCAGGAGGCTGAGGTGGGAGCATTGTGGGAGCCCAGAAGGTCGAGGCTGCAGTGAGTCGTGCACTCCAAAAAAAAAAAAAAAAAAAAAAGACAACTTAAAGTTGGAGGGAAAAATAAATAAATAAATAAATAAATATACATATATATATATATATATATATATATGCAGTCAGGCCCCCTGCCCCATATCCATGGGTTACACAACCAGGGATAGAAAACATTTGAAAAAAAAATTGCCTCTGTACCAAACACATATAGACTTTCCCTTGTCATTATTCCTAAATAATGCAGTATAACAACTATTTACATTTTGTATTAGGTATTATAACTACTCGAGATAATTTAAAGTATACAGAAGGGTTGGCATAAGTTATGGGCAAATTTATGCCATTTTATATCAGGGACTTGAGTGGATTTGGTATCCAAGGACAGTCTTGGAATAATCCCCCCACAAATACTGAGGAATGCCTGTATATTTCTTGTGTTTCTTTAAGGCATGATTCCTCAATTATTGGTATCCAAATGTCCTCATTCCCTTCTGGGAACCATGAAAAACAGGATACTGTAGAGTTTCACACATTAAGATGAGGAAAATCCATTTCTTCCCACAAAAGGCAAAACTAATTGGCATAGAAAATTACCATTTACTCCTTGTTAATAAATCCTAATGCATTACCCATAAATAAAACATACATCAAGCTCAAATGACAATTCCTGATTTCAGTTCTAAACCAAGGACTTAGAAACTGAACTCTGCGCAAGGAATTTTCACTTCTCCACATTGACCCTAGAAAGTATTCTTCATAAAAGAAACACATGTAGCAAACAATACATAAAGATAGCTAATCTGTCTGGAAGTGAGCAATTTGTTTTTGCGTGGTTTCCATTTCCATCCCCTAACAGATGTCTTCTAGGGCACAAGGATGGGATGGTAGGTGTGTGCTCTCCTGTTTTGTCTTTATAATTCCTACCTAATTCCCTATCTCACTCTGCTTCTTCAGAGCCCGGGATTTTTATTGAATATCTCCAGAAATCCTCCCACAAATGAGAATGACCGGTACTTTCCTGCAGAATCCTTCACTTAACCCCTGAGCATATAACACACTATAGATGGGACCTTATTCTTTTAAATGAGCCTATATGTTTCCATGGCTGCTGCTTACTAACAATACAAATAGAACAATAGCCCATTTTCAGATAAGACTGAATTCTTTCCTCCTTTTAAATTACTATTGAACTTTTCAGTGGAGTAGAAAAACTGTGACAGCTGCTGCAGATTTATTCTGTTTTGGAAGAAGCCAGTGTTTCCATACCTCTTGGATTATTTCAGTCTGTGTTTATCTTGACCTACCATCCCTTAGTGAAAAATTGGAGGGTTCTTTAGAAATATTTATTTTATTTTCACGATCCCTCAACTAAGAAGGAACCAAACTTTTTAGTATCCATTTACTCCGTATTGGACATTCCTTCTCAAGGCCTACATTTGGGGCAGCGTTACACTGATCTCATTGTGACTTCTAAATTCAGTTCCTTATTCAACAAATATTTATTGTGTGCTCTTGGGCCAGGTATTATATAGTCACTGAAATAAAAATAAAATAAAATAAAATAACAATATCTCTCATATTTAATTCACAGTTTAAAAGAGGAAGATCTGTAGATAATTTCAGTGTACAATGAGGTAAGTTTTGCTCTAGTAGTATGTTTTCACTTCTAACCTTATTTTAAATAGTTCTTCAAATAGATGCAAGCCATTATCACCCAGCATATTTTAACATTTTTAAAATGCATACCTTGATCATCCCCAATATTTATAAGGGCAGGACATGAAATTGAATGAATGTTGACAATTTATCAGTCATATAATGTTATTCACTGAAGGAAAATATTGGTAATTTTTAGGTTTGGTTTAAGATGCCAGGAGCAAAAAAAATAATAATTTTTTTTTAAAAAAGCTAAAATACTTTTTTTAAAAAGGTGATCACAAGAACCTGTTATAGAAACATTTTGTTTATTAGAATGCCAAGAATTAAATACAGAATAATAACACTATTTAATAGCTGGAGTATATGGAGTTTTTTCCTAATAATAATCTAAAATTTTATATTTTTTAACTTCAGGTATGCAGAGTTCTAATTAACACCAGAAGTTCAAACTTGAGAACACAGAGAAGAAAAATAATATATAACTACTGAGGGTCCCAAGGTACTCAAAATATTCATTGCGACAATTGCAGGATCAAAAGTGCTAGCATCATGACTGTTGGCAGCTCACCCATTACACCAGCAATCATATCCACTTATGGCCGAGCTCAGTATTGATTTGCTTACAGTGCTCTATTCCTATAAGACCAAAACTTCACTTAAGCCTGTTATTGGAATTCTTTTTATCAAATCATCCTCAACAAAAAGTACTTTCTGATATTTAGACTCTAACTCTTAAAGATACTTGAGGGAGATCAAGTGATCACTTACTTGCTTTTCAACTCCATCTTATATAGAGAAAAAAAGCAAAGTGTAAGATAATAAATTTCAGATCATTGGTTCAGATTTATTATTGATGTTACTATTAGTTGGTTCAAGACGTTCCTATTAGTTGGTGCAACTAATAGTATTAATAACATCAAGAAGAATCCTGTGGAAAACTGTATCAACCACCCCCACACAAGTTCCTAAAAATCTTACAGCCATCTAGGGTTTTTCTTCTGCATTCCAGAATTTGTCTTGAGTTTTCAGTATATGATGACTCAGGTGTTAGGCTTCTGAAAGTCACTTCTGCTATGTGTGTTTCCCCCTAAAGTTCATATATTGAATCCCTAAATCCCAGTGTGATGGAATTTGGAGATGGGGCCTTTGAGAAGTAATTAGGTCATGAGGCTAGTAGTGCCTTATGATGGGATTAGTGTTTTTATAAGAAGAGACAAGAGAAAGAGGTGTGTTTTTTTTGTTGTTGTTGTTTATTTTTTATTTTTATTTTTTGTCTCTCTCTCTCTCTCTCCTCTACCATTTGAGGACACAGCCAAAGGGTGGCTGTCTGCAAACCAGAAAGAGATCCTCACCAGAACTGGACCATACTGGCACCCTAATCTCAGAATCGAAGCCTCCAGAACTAGGAGAAATAAATGTATGTTATTTAAGTCATCCAGTTATATTAATTTATTTCAGCAGCCCAAAATGAATAAGACATCTCCCATCTAGTAAGATAGCCTAGCTTATAATTTTTATTAAGGTGAGATCTTACAAGTTTCAAAATCTATTATTTTCGTGGCTTGGTAAATTGGTTGTGTTTATTCTTTTTGCCTTCAATTTAGCTATCAACTCAGCAAAATCTAACTTTCAGCACCACTCAACAGAATCTGATTTCGTTAAGATCCTTAATAATTTCTAGTTTCCAAACAAAAATAATTTTTTCTTCACTACTATTATTAGATATTATTAGGAAGGAACTTGATCATGCATTCCATATCAAAAAAGAATTTCACTTTCTTGAATCTCACCGTTCTTGCTCTCTGTATACCTCTCTGACCATGTTTCTGTTTTTGTCGTGGATTTCCACCCCTTTATTAATCGTTAGATGTAAGTGCTTCTAAGGATTCAATGCTTAATATATGTTTATTTACTATCCTTTCATGTTCTGATGGAACCTGTTATGACCTAAATTGTGTTCGCCCCCATACCTCACACTGTGACTGTATGTGGAGACAGGGCCTGTGAAGAGGTCATTGAATTAAAATGAAACCATAGGAGTAGACCCTAATCCAACTTGATTGATGTCTTTATAAGAAAAGGAAATTTGGGCCAGGTGTGTTGGCTCATGCCCGTAGACCCAGCACTCTGGGAGGCTGAGGCAGGCAGATCACTTGAGCCCAGAAGGCGGAGGTTGCAAAGAGCCAAGATTGTGTCACTGCACTCCAGCCTGGGCATCAGAGTGAGACTCTGTTTCAACAAAAACAAAAGGGAAGGAGGGAAGGAAGGAAGGAAGGAAAGAAGGAAGGAAGGGAGGGAGGGACGGGGGCGGAGGGGGAGAGGGAGGGAATTTGGACACAGAGAAAGACCCCAGGGGGCCATGCACCCAGAGGAAAGACCATGTAAGGACACAGCAAGAAGGGCAGCCATCTGCAAGCCAAGGAGGGAGGCCTCAGAAGAAACCAATCCTACTTTAAACACCTTGACATTAAACTTCTAGCCTCCAGAACTTTGAGAAAATAAATTTCTGTTTTGTAAACCACGCGGTCTGTGATATTTTGTTATGGCAGTCCTAACAAACTAACATAGCTTCCAAATCTCTCTCTCCAAATCTAAACTTCTCCTTTGAGAGACAAAATTATATATTCAATTTTCTGATGCACATAGGCATACAGGTTACATACACAAAAAACACTTTAACTTGACCTATTCTTATTCAGATCTATCCTTGTATATTAATTATTTTCTCTTCTTGATGGTTTGTCTCTAGAAAACTAAATACTGGAAGTCCCGAATATTTTAACGGCTAAATTTTCTCAAGTCTGGGCTTCTTTCTTCAGGCCTACTAATACTGTTCTAGTTTGTGAAAACATTTCTAAAAATGGCCTATGAAGACAAATTGCAGCAGAAATACCAAGGGTGGGGGAATATTAAAAATACAGACACCACTTTGTTTCCATTTTTTTTAAATTTAAGAATTAACGGGCTACCATCTAATCCAGATCATTTTTTAAACACTTTCAATAAAAACTTTATTCCCAAACTTGAAATCCCCCATTTCTGCTAATGTTATTACTTTGGGAACATTTCTTCCAAAAACCAGTTAACTGAATTGATATTAGTTCTCAATATAAGACCTTATCAGAAGTGGGTTTTTTGTTTGTTTGTTTGTTTGTTTGTTGTTTTTCTTTGAGACTGAGCCTCACCCTGGAGTGCAGTGGCATCATGTCGGCTCACTGCAACCTCTGTCTCCTGGGTTCAAGCAATTCTCCTGCCTCAGCCTCCCGAGTAGCTGGGATTACAGGCACCCACCACCACACTCGGCTAATTTTTATATTTTTAGTAGAGACAGGGTTTCATCATGTTGGCCAGGCTAGTCTCGAACTCCTGACCTCAGGTGATCCACCCGCCTCGGCCTCCCAAAGTGCTGGGATTACAGGCATGAGCCACTGCGCCCGGCCAGAAGGTTTTTGTAAGTTGAAATACATTAATAGTCTCCTCCTCCTGATCATATATCTGTTATTCTTTTAAATTTGAATAAACAGGTTTAATTTTCCCTCTTTAAAAATGTTGCCTCCCAGGCAGTGCTGCAGGAAGGTTTAACTCACTTTATCTTCGTCCAAACTGGGGTTACATAGATTGTGACCAGAATTTAACTAATACTAATAATTTTTTGTCAGATACGTGTGTGTATTTGATAGATTGCAACATAAAAAATTATTGTGGGATATGGCCAAAAAACTTGAAAGCCACTAGTTTAATTTATTGCAATACATACACAGTTTCTACAAAGTACGCTTACATATGAATTCTGGAAGCAAGCCAGGGGGGAAAAGAAAGAAAAAAAGCTATGTTTTTCACCCATCCCACTTCACATGAGTAAAGAACTCTCTGCAAGGTCAAAGTCTAAAATGCGTTATTTCTAGTCCCTTTCTTCTCAGTCATCAGTCAAACTACATTTTCAATTGTCATTCATGTTTGCACTTCATTACTTTTGAAGACCAGAGTCTTTGTAACATATTAAACAGTAAAAGCCATTAAGCCAGTACAAAGCAATGCAAAGGCTTGAGGCTACCAAACTTTAACTATTAGTGCTCTAGGTTGAGAGGTCTGTGCCCTCGCCTGAGGGCACATCCTTGCAACAGCCTCTGGAGCATCAGCTCCAATTTTACTACAACTGAAAACACTTCTATTCTCAGACTCAGATTTCATTTTCACCACAAGGGAGTTCTTTTTAAAAAGAGACTCTAGTTGTCCAAACCCATATAATGCATAACACCACAAGTGAACCCTAATGTAAACTATGGACTTTGGGTAATGACGGGTCAATATAGGTTCACAGTTGTAACGAACGTACCACCGTGGTGTGGGAGGTTGATAACAGGGGAAGCTATGTGGTATGGGAGCAGGGAGTACATGAAAAATCTCTGGATCATCTGCTAATTTTGCTGTGAATCTAAAACTGCTCTACAAAATAAAGTCTAATAATTTTTTAAAAGGGGTATAAGTGCATTTGAAAACATCACTCATTCTACTTTTTCAGTAGCTGATGATGTAGTTTGAATTACCACGGCCTATGGCTTCTCAATTTTTCTCATCCTTTTTTTTTTTTTTTTTTTTTTTTTTTTGAGATGGAGTCTCACTCTGTTGCCCAGGCTGGAGTGCAGTTGCATGACCTCGGCTCACTGCAAACTCCGCCTCCTGGGTTCAAGCAATTCTCCTGCCTCAGCCTCCTGAGCAGCTGGGATTACAGGTGCCCGCCACTATGCCCAGCTAATTTTTGTATTTTTAGTAGAGACAGGGTTTCACCATGTTGGTCAGGCTGGTCTCGAACTCCTGAGCCCGCCTTGGCCTCCCAAAGTGCTGGGATTATAGGTGTGAGCCACCGTGCCCAGTCAATTTTTCTCATTCTTGACAGTGGCTTTTGGGTTATTTTATCACTCAGGTAAAGTGTTTAAAAATAAAAGGCAAGCTATCTTTTCACCTTTCCACTAGAGATAATAAACCCTAGAAAAATGTTTGAGTTATGCTGAGTTTACTTTGGAAACTTTTTCATGCTATTCTAGCCAAGCTTTGAACATGAGCATGAACTAGAATGAGTATGTGAAATACAGAAAAGTTCAGAAAGCTGAAGAGACTTTCTTGCATAAGACAAATGGACAGTTCACAACTGCCTAGCTGGAATCCTATACCATCTGAATCTTAAGGTTCTCAACATAGAGTAATCAACAGAGAGTCATCTTTCCATTTTGCTGATGGCCTTCCTCAAGATATGCAAAGCAAGATGTGTCTTTGCTGGGTTGGTAGATTTTATCCCTCCCTTTTATTTCTGTGCTAAATAGTAGATGATCATAACTTAGTTTCAGAAAGAAATAAAATGGCTTTCTAAGAGATTTGTAATTCTGAAAGGGGAATAAAGTTCATATACGATTCCAAAGTACAACATATTTAACTACATTTTAGATCTGGAAAATGTTTCCATCTTTGCCTGCATGTTGACTTGTGACACACTGGCAACTTGTTAGCCCCCTTGCCATAATGAAGCATCAATATTTGATACCTGCACTTAAAGTACACCTAAGCTCCTGGAAGTTTCCTTTCTCATCATTCTATTCCATAACCATAGCACTCCGACCTTTTATTTGTCACTCTGTAATTACAATAGCTGATACTTATATAACACTTTTTATGTGCCAGGCACTAGTTCAGATGTATTCCATAAAATAACTCTCATTTAATATTTATAACAACCCTTCTGAGATAAGTACTCTGTAATAATATAGATTTCTTCCTGGCTTCTGCAATAGCCTGTGCATTCCTTGAGAGTGAGGATTTTGTGGTTTTGCTTCTGATTAAAAAAAAAAAAAAAAAAAAAAAAAAACAAAGAAAAAATGGAATTTTGCTATTGTTTGTTGTAAAGAGCACATTTTTAAAGATGCTAATTTCAAAGAAACTTCTGTTTATTCAAGACAAAATGTGAAGCATTTTCCATAGATTTATAACATTTCCTAATTCATTTCTTTTTGAAGTTTATTTTTAAAGTAATTTGGGGGCATTATAGGCAATATCTTAGTACAGTTGCAAACAGAAACAGAATCAATTACTTTGCACTTTCTCTTGTCTGGGGGTAAAAAAAAATCTCAAATTTAATATATTTCTGAATGATCTATGAATAGCAATCTATAGCTTATACATCAAGTTTCCCAGGTGAAGTGTGCTATATTATATATAGAAAATCTTCTGTGCGCATGACCTTTTTTTTCTTCTGTGTGGTTTAAATTTTAAACTCTGAAGGAGGTACTATTTTTGAAATAGGAAAAAAGTCAACTATTCATTAAAGCAAGACTTCCAAATTGCAGGGAAGACAACTCTCATTTCTGCTTTTCATTTTTGTTACAGCAATTTGGACAGAAGTATTTATCTCTTGGGGCACACGGTCTTCATTTGAATTAAGTTTCAAATTGGGCCACTGTATCAATGCATACATATTAATGAATACTCTTTTAGACTTCAATATATTAAAATATAATAACTCCCTTGGAACTCTTAATTTCAAAAGGCAATAATATAGGTTTAAACAGTCATTTACCCCTCATCCAATTCCTCTGCTAGACTACATAAATCTTATAGTCAGCTACCAGCCTATTGAACTACTCTCCGGAGATATGAGTTAAGATATAGGGTACAGACTTAAGGTACTGCCTCTCTGTTCATCTGGGAATATTAGGGCTTCATTTAAATAGTAGAAATTTCTGTGCTAATGGCCAAAGCAAAACATTAATGTCAACGGAATCCCAGGTTTAACTCGGAGAAATTTCTATGCAGCTGGCAAAAGCAAAACATTAATTTCAATAGAATCTTGGTTTCACTCGATAGCAGTCTGCTAAGAGTGACACATTGACCCCTTTCTACTTATCAGAAGATGGTTTGAACCGTAATTCCAATAGACACAATCCTGAGCACCATAATCCTGAATGCTGAAGTCCCAAGACATCAAAATTCCAAAAATATAACTCTGAGAAAAGTAAAAAAAATATATATATATATATTTTTTTTTTTTGCAATGGGGTCTTACTGTGTTGCCCAGGCTGGTCTGAAACTCCTGGACTCCAGGTATCCTCCCGTCTCAGCCCCCCAAATAGCTGGGACCACAGGTGTGTGTCATCATGCCTAGCTTAAAAAATTCTTTAAAAGACATTCGTTTACATTTTTAAAGAGGAATTTATTTGAGAAGTCCATAAAAATATGTCAGACTAGGCCAGGTGCGGTGGCTCATACCTGTAATCCCAGCACTTTGGGAGGCCGAGGCAGGCGGATCATGAGGTCAGGAAATCGAGACCAGCTTGGCTAATATGGTGAAACCCTGTCTCTAATAAAAATACAAAAAAAAATGAGCTGGGTGTGGTAGCGGGTGCCTGTAGTCCCAGCTACTTGGGAGGCTGAGGCAGGAGAATGGCGTGAACCTGGGAGGCGGAGCTTGCAGTGAGAGGAGATCGTGCCACTGCACTCCAGCCTGGGCGACAGAGCGAGACTCCATCTCAGAACAAACAAACAAACAAAATATGTCAGACTACTTCATAGGCATTCATTCAATAGGCATTAATAACAAATATATTTGCAAGTATATATACCCAGTTACGTTAACCATGGTTACATGGGTACAACAACTATGAACAGACTATATTCATAAGGAAATTGGTAAAAAGTGCAATGTATACACACATATCACAGTGGCAATTGTGTGCACCCGGCTTTATAACTGTGATCATCTGAAATATCGTGACAGACAACCTGAGTCATCTGACAAAATTTATCAAAAACCATGATGGTCACTACTGCATATGCAGCCACCCAAATAGCTGAGAGTTTAAGAAATTTTATCTTTCACAAATGCAGATGCACAAGAGGACATCTCTTCATTTATTGAGGAAGTTTCAATGGTTTTACATACATGCACAATGCTTACACAAAGTCAACATTGTGATAACACTCTTTTGCAAAGTCAAATTTGCCAAAAATGCATAAAATGAATTAGAACTCTCTAAAAGTCTTTACAAAATGTATGCCTCCAGTATTAGAAAGGATGCAAAACTAAAATACATAGCATAGTGATGTGTAAAAGGATAATGCTGATGATTTAAAATAGTGAGGGGAAAAACAAACTTTAAAAAAAGACCTCAAAACACCAAAAAAGAAAATTTGACAAACAGTATTACATTATGGGAAATTACACAGAGGTAGTGTATAAGAGCTAGTCAACTTTCATGATCAACTATATTTTGAAGTTTTGCATTGTGATGAATAGCTGTTTGTTTATTTTCTTTTAGGGCATTGCTCACCTAGGAGAATATGTTTACATTCATGTTCTAGTGGTGCTGCTCTTTTTGAAATTCTTTGGCCAGGCACGGTGGCTCATGCCTGTAATCCCAGCACTCTGGGAGGTCAAGGCAGGTGGATCACTTGAAGTCAGGAGTTCAAGACCAGCCTAGCCAACATGATGAAACCCCATCACTGAAAAAATACAAATACAAAAATTAGCCAGGCATGGTGGCATGTGCCTGTAGTCCCAGCTACTCTGTAGGTTGAGGCAGGAGGATCGCTTGAGCCCAGGAGGTGGAGGTTGTAGTGAGCCGAGAGCATGCCACTGTACTCTAGCCTGGGCTACAGGAATGAAACCCTGTCCCCGACCCCCACAAAAAAAAAAAAGAAAAGAAAAAAGAAATTCTTCTATGATTCCATATCCACCAACATAAGCATGCTCTATCGAATCTTCCCATCTTCTGTGCCATGCTTCTATTTTGTTTTGGGTATGCAGAAATCCATTAAGCATGGACTCATATACAGGCCACAAATTTGGTGGAAACAATACTAGTGATTGACCAAAGGAAAAAAAAAAAAAGTTGCCTAAGTGTCTTTTTACCCTACCATGCACATAATTATTTACAAACTAGTCAGTAACTTCACTGGCTTCTTCAGACAAATGCAGCTTTAATTCATTCAAATCTCCTAAAATTCCATCAGCTGGAAGGAAATGGCCAGTGCAGACACCTGAAACATTTTTAAACTGAAGTTTTCGTTGTTGCCATATCATGTGGCAATCCACACATCTGAATTTTTTGCCATATGCATTGGGCTGAATGGAGAAAACAAACTATTGGTAACACCTTGAAATTCACTTTTAGAAGCCTTGATTGTACCTAATTCCAAATCTGTCATTATGGTTTGGGGATTCAATTGTAATTCATTTTCTTCTGCAAGTCCACCAAATCTTCAAATAAATGTTTATAAAGTGCTTGATTTTTTCCAGTCATTAAAACATAAATGAGGCCAGGTGCAGTGGCTCACGCCTGCAATCCCAACAGTTTGGGAGGCCAAGGCAGGAGGATTACTTCAGTCCAGGAGTTCAAGACCAGCCTGGGCAATATAGCAAAACCCTATTTTTACAAAAAAAAAAAAAAAAAAAAAGTACAAAAATTAGCCAGGCATGGTAGCACTCACCTGTAGTTCCAGCTACTCAGGCTGAGGCAGGAGGACGGATTGAGAGCCCAGGAAGTTGAGGCTGCGGTGAGTTGTGATAGTGCCACCGCACTCCAGCCTGGGCAACAGAATGAGACTTTGTCTCGAGAAACAAAAACCCATGAATGAAGCCAGGCACGGTGGCTCTTGCCTATAATCCCAACACTTTTGGAGGCCACAGCAAGAGGATCACTTAAGTCCAGGAATTTCAAGACTAACTTGAGCAATATAGTGAGACCCCATCTCAATTTAAAGAATAATAATCATCATTATTCAAAAATTTAAAAGAAGTAAATAAGTTCTAGAATTTTCAGATCCAATAAGGGCATGAATTAGGCAGAGTTGATAAGAAAAACAGTAGGGACGGTTTTGAAAGTGCCATCCATTGGCCAAAATGAAGCATGCACTAGTTTGTCTATGATAAATTTAGTGGTAAATATAGGAAATCTATCTTCTTCCAAAGTCAAATCCCTAACCAAGAATAGTTCACCATCTATGTACATTATAATCACGGGAGAAACTTCCATATCAGCAAATATATTTAGTGCAGAAGGTCACTGAGCCTGTTGAATTATTTTTATCCTATGACAAAAGGTGTTTTTGGAAAGCAAGCATGGTCCTGTGTGTAAAGAGACTGATAGTGTACACAACTGAATAATTTGGCAGGGGAGATTTCTTGTATTTTTCACCTGCTTTTTTACCCCCTCTATGATCTTTGAAATACTGGAAATATGAGGGCAGATCTTCCCCACCTAGTCCACTCAGACACACACACTAATCTCCACATCGACACACCCGTAATAATGCTTTACTGGGTTTACAGGTATTCTTTTATCCAGTTAAGTTGGCACCTAAAATTAAGTCCACAAGTCCACCCCTTATCAGTTGAAACCCATACGAAACTCCTTAAACCATACTTAGTTTCCAAATAAAGACAATAACAAGATAATAGTTTCACCTAACATGATCCAACTAATATGATGCAACTATTCTGCAAACAACAGAAAATACATTAATTTCTTCTCCAAAATTCATCTTTTAGGATTTCAACATTTGAGGTTTTAATCTTCTGGAGTGTGATTTTCAGGATTTTTTATGTTAAATATTTTGATCTTTCAAGGTTGCAGCATTCAGAATGTTGGTGTTTGGGATTTTGTCTTGGGATTGACTGGCACCATCAGATAACTTTTTCTTTTTTTTTGTCATGCTTTAAGTTCTGGGATACATGTGCAGAACATGCAGGTTACATAGATATACACATGCCATGGTGGTTTGCTGCACCCATCAACCTTTCATCTATATTAGGCATTTCTCCTAATGCTATCCCTCCCCTAGCCTCCTACCCACTGACAGGCCCTGTTGTGTGATGTTCTCTTCCCTGTGTTCATGTGCTCTTGTTGTTCAATTCCCACTTATGAGTGAGAACATGTGGTGTTTGGTTTTCTATTCGTGTATTAGTTTGCTGAGAATGATGGTTTCCAGCTTCATCCATGTCCCTGCAAAAGACATGAACTCGTCCTTTTTATGGCTGCATAGTATTCCATGGTGTATATGTGCCACATTTTCTTTATCCAGTCTATCATTCATGGGCATTTGGGTTGATTCCAAGTCTTTCTTATTGTGAACAGTGCTGCAATAAACTCAATTAATCAGGATTATTATAATACCTTGACATATCTACCTTTCAGACAGAAAGTGGTATGGTGACCACTTATGACAAAAACATCAAATTCAGTTTAAACAGGTTAACATAATTTTCTCAATAACAAAAGAAGATAAAAGAGCCAAAACCTGATGTTATCATACTTTCATGAAAGAAAACTTCTAAACAAAGGGCTGGATGAGCCACAGAGAACACGTTCATTTGGGTAAATCCTTCCACTTGGAGAGAGATCAAGTAGGCAGAAGAATTCTACCTGTTTATTTTACATGGATTATGAACTTTTCTGCGAGACTGAGATTTAACATTTAATCAGTCCTTTAGCAGTGAGATAACTCTCTCTTGTATCTATAAATGCTTTTATAATCCTTGACTATCAACATTGAAAAATGTAGATAGAATTCTAAATATAAATATATGTATTTGTATGCTTTCTTACTGCTCTACTTGTTCCATGAAAACAAACTATGGTTTTCCAGTAAGAATAGATGCCTTAGAGCCAGAGATAAACTAGGTTTAAATGCTTTCTTTGCCATAGAGGTGAAATATTTTGCCTCTCTGAATGTTGGTGTAATACATAAAATAGGCACAGCTCTGTTTAGATCATAAGGTTATTGCAAAAGATGAATAAATTTTCCATGTAAAGACACTTATAAAACAGTAGATACTTAATAAGTATCAACATAATATAAAACAAATAAATATATATATGATAAATAAATATAATCATTCAGGAAGTTCCTTGTGGACAGGAATGGTGTTTTATGTTCTCCATACTAAGTAAGGCACCAGGTATGTTGTCATGCAAATAGAAGGTAAATTGTCCACAGTTTAAATTATAACAATACAAATCACATGAAAGATTTTCAGAAGAAAATTGTGATGGCAAACAGCCATAATTGAAAACTATGTTGTTGTTTTTTTTTTTTTGAGATAGAGTCTTGCTCTGTTGCCCAGGCTGGAGTGCAGTGGCACGATCTCGGCTCACTGCAACCTCCGCCTCCCAGGTTCAAGCAATTCTCTGCCTCAGCCTCCCGAGTAGCTGGGATTACAGGTGCCTACCACCATGCCCAGCTAATTTTTGTGTTTTCAGTAGAGACAAGGTTTCACCATCTTGGCCAGGCTGGTCTTGAACTCCTGACCTCTTGAGCCACCTGCCTCAGCCTCCCAAAGTGCTGGGATTACAGGCGTAAGCCACCGCACCCTGCCTGTAATGAATAATTTAATGTTAAAGTATGAATCCTTCCCTGAAGAAGGCAAGGCAAAAATGCATGTTTATAGCTAAATGGAATTATTAGGCAGTCCCTGGAGAAAATGCATCATGTTAGCGTACATGGTTATAGACTGAAAATTCAGCAAAACATCCATGGTTGATATTTAGAGTTGCCATTTCACACAGGAACATGAAAATATAAGAAAATACCACTGGTTATGATAATAATATCCTCTATACTGCCTGGGCTACACAGCAGATTAAAATATTTAGAAAATATATGCTTATTAATTATATTAGCAGCAAGTGGTATCAGAGAGTGTGAGCCTCGTGCACTAAAGAGAGCCTCCTTATACCTTGTGCTTCCCTTGGAGTAATAGATCCAAGGATAGCTGTTCGGTTTACTGTGGTGAATAACGTGGATTTCCACCGCACTTTTCTACCAAAGATTTCTCTAGTTCTGGCTCTGGCTCTGAAGCAACTGCAAGAAGGCAAGGTTTCTGTTACTGAGGAACATTCTCCAAAATCTACTTCTGGGTTCCACGTAGTTCCTGGTCACCCCTTTGGCCAGTCAATCAAATTCTTTGCCTTGAAGTACATGAGTGCATTTAATAAAACCTATAAAAAAGCCAGCACCAACTAACAGCAAAATAATGTGCTAGGTACTCATTTATTGAATGTTTGCCAATGTTAAGTGTTTTACTTTTTTTTTCTTTTTTTTTTTTTTTTTTTTAATAGGTCTTGCTCTGTCACCCAGAGGCTGGAGTGCAGTGGCATAATCATGGGCTCACTGCAGCCTCAACCTCCCTAGCTCAGGAGATCATCTCACCTCAGCCTTGTAGTTAGCCGGGACTACAGGCACACATCACCATGCCCAGCTAATTGGTTTTTTGTCTATTTTTGTAGAGACAGGGTCTTCCCATGTTGCCCAAACTGGCTTCAAACTCCTGGCCTCAAGAGATCCTCCCACCTCTGCCTCCCAAAAAATTCTGCTTGGATTACAGGTGTGAGCCAACACCCCCAGCCATGTTGTTTTACTAACCATCATCTTATTAGTTAAGTGCTTTAGTAATCAATATCTCAGCAACACCATTTGTATCCACGAGGAACATACCACTCAGAGAGGTCTAGTCATTAACCAAACTCATAACCCACTACCAAGAGAGTATCATTATAACTATTAAGAGTGTGTGTTCTAAAATATTATAATTTAAAGCTCTGCTGTGTCACTTGCTAATTTTGTGGACTTTGGCAAATTTTACACCAACTAGTAAGACCATGTGTCCTGGCTTTCCCAGTTGCACATGTTGTTCCAAGGTAAGTATGCACAGTGCTCCTTTTCTGTTTGGACAATAAATTATAAAGCCATCCCACCCATAAGCATCAGCTTCCCAAAGTGCAGACAAAGGAAAAGCAAAGCACTCTCGTCATAGGAATATTGTTGAGAGTTACTGTGGTGATGACGGTAAAACTCTTCGCACAGGACATGACAGGCTGTAAAAGCCCAGAAAAGTTTTTTTCTTCTATTATTGTTATTAACTAGCAAGATAGTAAGATAGTGAGCATGTTCTGGTGTTTTAAGAGGTGAAAATAACCCTTCCAGGATCTGAAATGACTCAGAATTGGAACTTTTAGGTATGAATGTCTGCATGTGGAGCAACGTGTGTAGGAGGTAAGATGGTAAGATACGAGAAGCTATAATCAGGGAATGAATTATGGAAGGTCCTGTAGGTCAGAATGAAGAGTGTGGTCTCTATTACACTTTAAGGGGGAAGGTAGTGAAGATTTCTGAAATGAGAATTGACATGACTATATCTGTATTTTCGAAAAATAACTCATTACAGTTTCTCTTTTCCCGCCCCTCTCTCCTATTTTCCCTGTGATACCAATTCCATTCAGCCAATCCCCAAATCTTTTCTTGGCTACTTCCAGAACAATTCAAATATGTACCCTTCCCAGCATCTCCCCCATCATCTAAGAGCCTTCTGGGCACAGTTATCATCTCTCATCTGGACCACTCCAGTAGACCTAGCTCCTACTGGGCTCTCTGCTTTCACTCTTGAACCTCAAACTCAGTTTAATCATCACAGAGAAGCTAGAATCCTCTCTTTTATTTGTTTTCTTTTTAAACTTTTCTGGGGATAATTTTAGATTTACAGAAAAGTTCTGAAAGATATTATAGAGAGTTCCTGTATTCCTGTCCCCCAGCTTTCCCAATGTTACCATCATACACAACCCAGGTATGTTTATCAAAGCTGAAAAATGGGTACATCTATATTAACCTAATTACAAACATTATTTAGATTTCACTGTTTTTCCACTAATATCCTTTTTCTGTTTGAGGATTTAATCCAGGATTTTGTGTTGCATTTAACTGTTGTATCTCCTTAGTGTTCTCCAATCTATGACAGTTACACAATCTTTCTTTGATTTTCATTGACTTAACAGTTCTGAGGAACATTAATTAGGTATTTTGTATAATGTCCCTCAATTTGTGTTTGTCTTTTGTTTTCTCATGATTATGAATTTGGGAGATGATTATCACAGAAGTAAAATATCCCTCTTATCAGATCATGTTGGGTAACATTAACCTTCATTACTTGGTACTAGTGGTGTCTCCCAGGTTTCTCCATTATAAAGTTACTGCTTTTTCTCTTTCCATATTCTTGTTCATTGCAAGTGAGTCACTAAAACCTGCCCACACTCAAAGGGCAAGGAATTAAGCTCCACTTCCTCAAGGAGGGAAGATCTATATTTACTGCTTGGAATTTCCCTCTCTCTCTCTCTCTTTTTTTTGAGACAGGATATTGCTCTGTCTCCCAGGCTAGAATGCAGTCTTGCAATCATTTCTCACTGCAATCTTGAACTCCTTGGGCTCAAGTGATGCTCCCTTCTCAGGGGCCTCTTGAGTAGCTAGGACTGCAGGCACTTGCCACCATGCCCAGATAATTTTTAAAATTTTTTGTAGAGATAGTCTTCCTTTGTTATTTAATCTGGTCTCAAACTTCTGGCCTCAGGCCATTCTCCTGCTTAGGCCTCCCAAGGTGCAGAGATTACAGGCATGAGCCACCACACCTGGCCTAGGAATTCTAACTTTTTTTTTTTTTTGCACTCATTAACTATCCTTACTCCACTCCCCACTCCCCTCACCCCTGGCCCCTACTACCCTTCCCAGCCTCTGGTAACCATCCTTCTACTCTCTGTCTCTATGGGTTCAATTGTTTTGATTTTTAGATTCTACAAAGAAGTGAGAACATATGATGTTTGCCTAGGAGTTTATCTGTAAGAAAGATTTGTACTTCCTTCCTCATTTATTTATTTATTCAAACATTTTACTTATATCACTATGATTCATGAATATTTATTCTATAACATGCTTTCAAAGATAGAAATTCTATGTGTCACTTGTTTGCTTAAAATGCCCCAATGGCTACCCTTTAGAAGAAAATCTAAGAAGAAAATCCAAACTCCTTAGCCTTCTGACAAAGCCTATCTAATGCACCTAGCTTGATGCATCTATCTCATATCACTCCTCACTCCCTACTCTCGCCTTCCCCGGCCCACAGTAGCATAGCCACACTGGCCTGGTCTTCACTTGAGCTTGTTGGACTGCTCCCCTGTTCCCACCTCTGGACTTTGCATGAGGTGTTCTCTGCCAGGAATACTCTTATTTCTGGTTTTTATTTAGTACTCAGCTTAGAAGCGACCTTTTCAGAGAAGGCTTTCTTGATCACCTATTCCAAAGTAACCAGTTATTCTTATATTCTTTACATAGTAGCCATTATTGTTATTTTACTATATCAATTTGTTGTTTTTCCCCACCACCAGCACCACTTGAATGTAAACTCTAGGAGAAGACGGGCTTCATTTCACAACACCTAGCGCTCAGAACTATGTCTAGTGCACAAGAAATAATTAAATGTTTAATGAGTGTATACATAAACATGAATGAAGGGGAGGACTAAGAAACCTGAGACAGAAAGATGATTTAGAAAACTATTATAATGTAATAATCAAGGCAGAAACCAATGAAGACCTAAATTTCATAGAAGACTTGTAATGTGCTGTCTGTGCTGTTGATGATAAGTTCATTATTTCTTTTTTTTTTTTTTTTGAGACAGAGTCTCGCTCTGTCGCCCAGGCTGGAGTGCAGTGGCATAATCTCAGCTCAGTGGAAGCTCCGCCTCCCGGGTTCACGCCATTCTCCAGCCTCAGCCTCCTGAATAGCTGGGACTACAGGCACATGCCACCATGCCCGGCTAACTTTTTCATATTTTTAGTAGAGACAGGGTTTCACCATGTTAGCCAGGATGGTCTCAATCTCCTGACCTTGTGATCTGCCCACCTCAGCCTCCCAAAGTGCTGGGATTACAGGCATGAGCCACAGTACCTGGCCCATTACTTCTCCATTTCTAAAGATGCTTCCCTTCTTACTTGAGGATCATAAATTTCATACTGTAATCTAGGGATGTGCCTGGAGTTAAGCACAAAGCCACCTTTACATTAAATCAGCACAGTGACTAGTTTTCAAAAATAATTAGCTGCCCTCTTGGCTCTGCATCCCCTAGCTTTATTTGACAAATCCTTCCTTTGGTCTCCCAATCAGTTGCCAAAGCTAATTCCCAAACAGTTCCCAAACTGTTGCCTAAGCTGTTACTCAGAGCTCATGTCTACACAGGAACAAAACCAGACAAAAAAGGTGGAGAGAAAGGAGACTGCAAAGAGGGGGAATGTCTGGTATTTGTCTTCCATCTGCTTCCCCAGTCTTAAGTCTTGCTCTGCTCTATTTTCAGACCTGGGTACGTCGACCTGAGGGTGCTTTCACGGCTTCCTTACTGGAAGAACCAGCTGGAATTCCGCTGCCCACCAGTGTGTTCACATTGCCTGCCACTCCCTCCCACCCTCAATCCTGACAAGACTTTTATACTTTGCAAAAAGCAATATTATTGGCTGGGCACAGTGGCTCACGCCTGTAAACCCAGCACTTTGGGAGGTCAAGGCAGGTGGATCACTTGAGGTCAGGAGTTCAAGATCAGCCTGGCCAACATAGTGAAACTCCATCTCTACTAAAAATACAAAAAGTTAGCCAGGCGGGCGTGGTGGCCTGCACCTATAATCCCAGTCACTTGGGAGGCTGAGGCAGGAGAAGAGCTTGAACCCAGCAGGCAGAGGTTGCAGTGAGGTGAGATGGTGTCACTGCACTCTGGCCTGTGCAACAGACAGAGCGAGACTCCATCTCAGAAAAAACAGCAATATTATTAACAAAACTGCCCTACATTCACTTCAAAGGAGGTCAAGAGAGAGACAAAACCAGAAATCAGGCAATGAAGAACTTGTTTTAATTCAATCTTAAGCCCATGTTTGTACGAACCTGGAGGCTAATCTGTATGCTCACTCTGGGAGTGCTGGGTTATTAAGGTAAGTGATCAGGGAACTTATTTCCAGGAAACACTTTAAGTAAAATGTTGTAAAAGACTGTGGACAGATGTTTAGGTCCCAGAACACCAGGTACTTCAGAGGTCTTGGGGTACATGACTGTCCAGATACCTGGGCTTAATTTTGAGACATGGATTTTAGAATGGCAGAGAATGTTATGTTTGACTGTAAGCCTAGATGAAGACACTCAAATATCCTCCAGTACAATTATCAAAAACAGGGGTGACGGACTGTAAACTAAAAGAGCCAGGTTTCGGCTTGATAGCCAAATAAAAGATGTAATTGCTTTTGGAAGCTGTGTGAGGTCAATTCTCTCCCACTCCCCACAAGAGCAGCAGATAGGAACAGGCAAGAAGCAAGCAGTAGTAGCAGCAGGTGGTAGAAAGAAAGAATGAAGTGTTTCATTTCACCAGGAGAAGGGGTAATAAGGGACCATCACGCTGCAAAGCAAAGAATATGGAACCATTATGATGCTTGACATCCACATAGCAAGAAGCCTCAGCATTTGGGGGAAGTGAGATTTGGGAGGAGAATATAGAACGGCTTGGCATCCTAATAATCCCCATGTCTATGAATGCCTAAGACCCACCCGTCTAATGACAAGCTTGGAAAGGCCTGGGAAAGTAAAGTTCACACAATCACATATAAAAATGTCAACACTTTTGATGGACATCATCAAATTTAGTAATACACATCTAAGTTTTCTAAGAAAAGTTTTCAAACATTTTTTTCATTCTGACTTTCCATATCAGGGCCGTTTACATCATCCCCTTAGATATAAGGCAGGGTGAATCTTGGTGCAATCATAGAAAAATGGCAATATGTCCCCTTTATGTGGGAGGAAGTCAACAGGATAGGAGATCTAGAATAGTAACAATAGTGACAATAATAACTGCTATTTTTAACAGATGTTTATTGCTTAGACTGTTGAATCACCTTCTATTCCATAGAACAGTTACATTTCAGGACACATTAATGCCCTCCACTTGAATATAATCATAGTAATCATGTTCAAATGAAGGGTTTCTCAAAGTGAAGTCTGCATACCCCCTGAGGACTTGATTCCAAATGTTCATTCCAAATGCAGATTCCAGGGCTCTCTGTCCAGAGTTTTATTTAACCTGCCTAGAGGACACCCAGGTATCTTCATTCTATTGAGTTCCTATAGAGATTTCTGACACATGCTAATTAGATTAAGAAATCTTGCATAATTTGTAAATTTGTTTATATATGAAGCTTGAAAAACAGTAGAAAAATGAAATCTAAGTTGTATATAATGAAATGCTTTTGTGGAGTGAGGTGATGAGGAACACAGGGTAAATAAAGTCTAACAATAAATAAAAGCATATCACAAAAAACCAAACCTCCCTATTATCCCATCTTCCAGTCTTCTTACACACAGGAAACTATTATTAGTGTCTTAGATATCCTTTGAGAAATACTTTATGAATATACCAATGAACAGCTCATATATATATATGCACATCCCACGGGGGGAAATAAAAAAAGAATAGTGGCATACGGTAACACTGTCCTGTCCCTTGCTCTTTTTCATTAAATATATTTATAAGAGATAATTTCATAAGAACACATAGAGATTACTCTCATTTTTAAAATAGTTGCATGTAATTCTCTAATAAAGGATACATTTTTATGACATACAGCTCTAATAAATATAATTCACTTATCTAATTCACTGTTAATATATATTTAGGTTGTTTCCTGCATTTCGTGAGTACAAACAATGAATGATACCTTCCAACCTTTCAAAACTACTGCTCCAAGTGATGATAAGGAGAAGGATAAATCAGTCTTTCAGTGACCACAGGAAAGTGTCATGGCCATTGGGTGACATATCTGACATTCTCTGGAATGGCTGGTACATACTGTAGTACACAAAAATTTTGACCTACCACATCCCTCCATCTTCCTCTTTAGGTCATTTCTTTGCCTTCTACATCTCTTCCTTCTATCTTTCAAGATATAAAGGAACTTTTTCTCTCCTAAAATTCTACCCCTTTAAACTACCCATCTTTCTTTCATTCTACTATTTTCGTTGTCATAAATGTGCCTTAAGTCTCCCACCTGATTGAAGGTTGCTGCAGGACAGTAGCTCATGCCTCTCCCATGGTGTTTACATGGAGTTTGTAGACACTCTTTCCCTCTCTACAAAGAGAACTATGGTCATCCAATATGGTAAGCCCTATATAAGTGTAAAAAATAAAAGCAATAGGCCGGGAGCAGTGGCTCACGCCTGTAATCCCAGCACTTTGGGAGGCCGAGGTGGGCGGATCACGAGGTCAGGATATGGAGACCAGCCTGCCAACACAGTGAAACCCCGTCTCTACTAAAAATACAAAAAATTAACCGGGCTTGGTGGCGGGCGCCTGTAGTCCCAGCTACTCGGGAGGCTGAGGCAGGAGAATGGCGCAAACCTGGGAGGCGGAGCTTGCGGTGAGCCGAGATCATGCCACTGCACTCCAGTCTGGGCAACAGAGTGAGACTCCGTCTCAAAAAAATAAAAATAAGAATAAAAATAAAAAATAAATAAAAACAACAGTGAACACTGATCTACTGAATTAAAATAGCTCTTTTAGATTCTAAATAACATCTGGGATTCTAAATAATGTTTGGATGCCTTTTTCTTAAAAGATATTAGAAACCATATAATTATATTGCTGCCCTGTCTGACCCAATACTAATACACTAAACACAATCACTTGCATTACATAAACTTATGGAAGCCTGAGGTGTGCATCATGTTTTAGAGTCTGCAAAAGACTTCCATAGTTCTAAAGCTAGGAAATGTTCAATCCATCTTAATACTCTATTTAAAAATAATGCCTTTTGAACATCTAAACATGAAATCTGCTGTTTTACGTGTTTTTCTTTACCAAAGAATCATATATATCTTATTCCACATATATTTCTTTCTTTTGAATGACAGTGTAAATGTAAAACAGCTTAAATTAATAGCTACCTCTTCTGCTTTACTTTTCCCCTATGTGAAATAACTTAGAGTTGGTAGGCACTCTGTTTTAATAAGGAAGCAACCATCAAAAATTAGAAAAGAATTCAACACAATAAATTTTCTTGGCAAAATAATATATTAGCTAAATGGTTTTTATTAAATCACCTGTTCAACTGGCCTCTGGTTTAAGTGCTATACAATAAATGACAAAATAACCCTTTGCAAAAAATTTTCAGTATTCTGTCATGTAGTTACAGATTTCAGAATTTTTTCCTGTCAGTTTTATGCTGCATTTCTTTACAAAACTGACAGGAAGCTGACAAGGCAAGAAAAGTTAGAAAATGTGGCTGCTGGTGAAATTTAATAGAATGTTTCCTTTGGGGGAATAAAACATGTATTCTAAGTGCAGAAAAATATAAAGCAGAACTTTTAGGAGTTAATGATTTTCCTTAATGAAACCGCTGACAGTTATATTCCAGCTCTGGCTTTTACTTGCTGTATAACCCTGGGAAAATTAGTTACCCTAACTGTGCCTCAGTTTTCTCATCCATCAAAAAAAAAAACCCTCATAGAGTTATTGTGTAGGTAGAATGAGCAGTTATGTGTAAAACACTTAGCATGGGATGGCATTGTAATTCTAATAATAATTGTTTGGATTCACATGGCTGTCTTATGTGAGGATGAGGATTAAATAATTCGAGGCAGGTGGATCATGAGGTCAGGAGATCGAGACCATCCTGGCTAACATGGTGAAACCCCGTCTCTACTAAAAATACAAAAAATTAGCCGGGCGTGGTGGCGGGCGCCTATAGTCCCAGCTACTCCGGAGGCTGAGGCAGGAGAATAGCGTGAACCTGGGAGGCAGAGATTGCAGTGAGCCGAGACTGCGCCACTGCACTCCAGCCTGGGCGACTGAGCGAGACTCCGTCTCAAAAAAAAAAAAAAAAAAAAAAAAAAAGGAATAATATTTTAGAGTCAACATTTATAAAAAAGACAGAGTTGTATAATGATACTGCTATATATTAAATCTTCAATTTTCCAAATAGTGTTGCAAATAAGCATCAAAACTTGACAATAACTGTAATAGATAAACGTCAATAGAGTTTAGAACACACTTCCCCAAAATATGGCACCTTGGCAGTTGAGAAAACAGCAGAAACAGGAAGATCACTCTCACCTTCTCTGGACCTTTCTTTCTGGAACCATGTCATAAAATCTAGTAAGGACTTTCTGATCTTCCCCTGAAGCAAGTCATAAGACCATGTAAGAGGTGCCCTCTCTATACTCAGAGGAAAGGAGACACAGAGGTGCCAAGAAGAAACTGAACAAACAGGCTTTGCTAAGTTTCCCCCAGTTTACTATGGTTAGATCACAAACTTTTGTCCTCCTTTCATATTTCTCCATGACTATCCAATCTTCATCAAACTTAGCATAAAATTACACATGTTTGCCAGTTTCTTCAGGTCTTCATTTCCTTATGAAGGCTCCTGTATCATATAAAACTTACAGTCATTAAATTTATACGCTTTCCTCTGCTTCATCTGTTTATTATAGAAACCTCAGCCATGAATGCAGAATGGGTGAGGAAAATATATTTTTCCTTCCCTACAATGTATATGGAAAGACTATTTAAAGAGAAAAGAAGAAAAGAATGTAAACTCATTACCCCCCTGGTTTATTGCAGTCTTTGCCATTCTGGATCTATCTATTAAAGTGTTTTCTTCTAAGTTCACCCACAGCTCAAACACTCTCCACCAATTTAACTTTTCCAACAATCCATCTTATCTGGTTTCTCACCCAACCACCCACAATCACTGACAGCTTCCTCCTACACACAGGAAAAGTGCTGGTGTCTTCCAAAGGAAGTAGACAAAAAATGCTACAGCTTTGAGATAAACAATCAGAATTGCCTTGGAGCCATGAGGAGGGAACTAAAGGCAAGACAACTTCAGTTTCGTATGGTGCAATTCTTTCTAGAAGAATATAACTCTCCTCTACCTAGACAACAGGAAGCATACACACTTATATTTTCAGTAAAAGAAGGAGGTCAGAAAGTAATGGACATAGTGGGCAACAATTATAGAAACAGGAGAAAGAGAAAAAATTAGGAGACTGTATATGAAAAAGAAAGGTCAGGCCAGGCGCAGTGGCTCACGCCTGTAATCCTAGCACTTTGGGAGCCCGAGGCGGGTCGATCACGAGGTCATGAGATCGAGACCATCCTGGCTAACACGATGAACCCTGTCTCTATTAAAAATACAAAAAATTAGCCAGGCGTGGTGGCGGGCGCCTGTAGTCCTAGCTATTCAGGAGGCTGAGACAGGAGAATGGCATGAACCCGGGAGGCAGAGCTTGCAGTGAGCCAAGATTGCACCACTGCACTCCAGCCTGGGTGACAGAGCGAGACTCCATCTCAAAAAAAATTAAAAAGGTCAGCTTAGGAAGCAAAGTTCTCAAATAACATAATTAACACAGCTAGTCACTGACCAGCCCAAAAGGGGAATTGTAAGTCTTTCACGTCTTTAAAAAAGAAAACCCCACTGGCTGGGCGCAGTGGCTCATACCTGTAATCACAGCACCTTCGGGAGGCCGAGATGGGAGGCTTGCTTGAGGCCACGAGTTCGAGACCCTGGCTAACATAGGGAGACCCCCATCTCTATTAACAAAAAGGAAAATTAAATAAAAATATTTCCCGCCCCCCCCAAAACAGGACGATATATCATGGCATCAACAGGCACATTGACTCTACTGTCCCCGGTTAGCAAGTTATCATGCTTCACTTTTGAGAAGAAACTGATAGCATCATTTGCTTAAAGCACAATGATATTTAAATTTAATCGTAGTCATTTAAGTAATAAACTTGGTTCTATGTTTACTTATGTGGTACTTAAATTTGTTCTCAAGAAATTACGCTTTAAGGTTAACGTTTAAGAACTCTGGTCGTGAAAGGACCATTAGCTGCTCAATGAATCAATGGCCTGGCAACAATGTACTATCCATAGAGCAGGCTTGCCTGAAGCTTCTGCTTCTAGATGAAGGGGTGTGTGAGGAGCTGTTAGTGTTATGCTGACTTTGAGTGGAATGCCACTATAAATCATAATCCCTATCTTCAGTATGTACAGGTAGATAGAATTCGGGGACAGTGCTTTTCTCAGTAATAAAGAAAAAAAAAATCTTTCATCTTGAACCTCAGAAAGAGGGTCAATGGATGAACAGCAGTTACATTTTCATTTTCTATATACCTCTCAGGAAATCAAACAAATCAAAAAATGCATTTGGAAGCTGTCTGCTCAAATCGTCTATTCTCTATCTTGTCTGACAGAAGGGAAACTCCTTGCAGGCACAGCTGTTCTGCCAGAGACTCAAATCTGAGCACCATAAATCCTCAGTGTAAGTTCAAGAGAAAGGCTAATGATAAAGTTTCCTGTGAAAGTACTACTGAAAAGAGAAGTCACATTTTCGTTCACATTTAAACTCCCATATTGTTCAACTGTGTGCCTACCTTCCACAGAGTATATACTCAGTATTTATAAAATACATGCTGATATATATAAAATTCAACATTTAGTTGAATAATGAGTATCCTAGCTTTAGTATCCTAAAGCATTGTCAAACCCTTGCTGCTACGAAATGTGTCAGGTAAGTTTCCTTCCTGGTGGGGATGCAAACACTTTCCTTCCCTCCCTCATCTCTGCCTCCCCATTTGCAGACACCTGCTGTCAGGAGGATTTCCCAGAACCTCTCCTCCCTGTGGAAGTCCTGCTGATAAGAATGAAGACCTGCAACTATTACCCAGTCCTGGGACCTTGGCAGCAAACTCCAGACCACTTGGCAGCAAACTCCAGACCACTACATGGGCAGAAAAATGTTGGCACTTTCTTTATTCTCCCTGCAGGCATCAGCTTCTCTTTCCTAGACCCCTCAAGGGCTATGGACCAACACAGGCAATTCCATTTTCAAGGCTAACAAAAGGCTGAGCTCTAGAGGAATAGGTCATTTGCACTTCCCTGTTTTCCTGCAGGCACTTGTTTTGTTCCCCAGAGCCAGGATGGAATTGACAAACACCTGGAGGCCAGAGAGAAAAGTTTCTCATTGTACTGCTCTGCAAGAACGTATACACAGCTATTTCAGCATAAATGTCAGATGATAGTGATAAAGATGATAATAACTGAAAGAATTGTTGCTATGATTTTGTCATTAAACTGTCAAGAAAAATGGTCAATATTTTTATATGAAGGATGGAAGAGTTTGATATTTTAAAAGTACAGTGTATTCACCTTCAAGAAGATCACGCATTATATATGGTGGGAACTTTCTAAAAACTGTGAATTGGTGGCTAAACATTCCTCTACTGTTTTATATTAGACCATTTTTCTAACTGGAAGTCCACATTTAAACATTTCTAAGAAAATGATCTATTTTTGGAAATAATGTTTTATGTTTTGTAGAGATTGAGAGAATGATTTAGAGGAAGGTTGTGGACAAACTTTCTCTGGCAGAATGTGCATTGGAAATGGCTGTCTAGCTCAAAACAGCCCTTTTAACTGCTCCCTTCCTTCATAAGAGTAGGTCACCAAAGTATTTTTGGAATTCATGGTCAACCAGGATAGACATTCAGCAGTAACCAGTATGGCTACACCAGTGGTACAGGATGATAGATGCTCCCTCAAGCCCCTCAAGTCAGTCTCCTGACCTCTCCATGACCTGGAAGGTAAAGGAGGTTAACAACTGGCACCGCAAAGGTCTGTAGGCTTCCTCCTGCTCCAGCTGACTACCCGGCCCCAGCAGACATAGACTAGTAAATGGTCTCACTATCACTCTGGCTCCAACCTCTTAACAATGCTGAATTGAATCACAGATACACACCAGAATAAAGCTGGACCTTCAGATTCCCAGTTCCAGAAAACTGGAATGACAATGGACTAGAGAGAGAAATAGGAGATCTGATCCTTCAACAGAGGAAAACCACCACAAATGTACAAAGAGATGCAGCGAAGAGGGAGTGAGGAAGGGAGTGGGAGACAAAGATTTTGAGAGAGAGAGAAAGAGATGGGAATAGAGTATTCTGAATGCCAACAATTACCCATTTTTTCTTTTCCTAGAGGTTACTGCATTACTGCTTGTTACGGAGTCAATTATGTCCCTCAAAATTCATATGTTGAAGCCCTAGCCCACAATGTGACTGTATTTAGAGACAGAGCCTCTAAAGAGATAATTATAATTAAATGAGGTCATACGTGTGGACCCCTCATCTAATACAATGGGTGTTCCTACAGGAAAAGGAAGAGACACCAGAGTGCATGCACACAGCAGGTGACGCGAGGACACTGAGGAGGCAGCCATTTGCAAGCCAAGGAGAGAGGATCAGGAAAAACCTAACCTACTTGCACCTTGATTTTGAACTTCCAGCATGTAGGACTGTAAGAAAATAAATTTCTGTTTAAGTCTGTGGTATTCTAATACAGCAGCCTAGCAGATTAATTTCTGTGGGTTCTGAGAGATAACAAAATGTCATGAAAATAACCACCACTTCCTTTGCTTACCTTGGTTGGAATTGGTTTCTGTACGTGTACCATAAAATGCTAGCTACTACATTCCTATAAACATTAGATTTTAGGTTTTCTAATTTCTAACTCAAGAATCCAGAGTTAGAAGGTAAATTTAAACTGGAATTCTTGACATAATGTTTTTCAAGGATCATTCAACTGTGATAATGAATCTAAAATATATTCTGTTAAACTGACATTTGTTGTTTTCAACAGTCTGAGCCTGGAATCAAATGTTTTCAGAAAGGCCTCTTTCCTGTAACTTGGTACAAATATAGGCACATTCTCAGACCAACCTAGCCTCAGAAGAGATATACTAGCCAAATTTCTGAAGTGAGTGGCAGTTTACACATTTCTCTGAAGTGAGGTGTTGTATTGTTCCGGTCACAGGAAAAAAAAAAAAGATTCATGCGTTGTTCCACTTAAATAGGGTATCTTTATTCAGACCTAGTTACAGGGCTTGTACTTTTCCACAGTTTATGAGGATACTTCTGCGTTCCTTCGGGTGACAGCCTGAAGCACGAATAAGGGAGCTCTGCTTCTTGTCTAATTAGCTATGCCTTTCTATGTTTGAATAAATGGCCTACGTCTGCCAGTGCACACTTAAAAGTAGTAGTCCTAATATCACCCTGAACAGGACTATGCGCTCGAGTAGGTACCTTGTGTGGCAGAACGATGTGGTGTTAAATAAGCCTATATCCTCCACAGTCAAAGTTCAGGCAGGCCCTTTTAATAAAAATGGACAAGTGGAATTCTAGCCGACTACATATTTGAAGAGTGCATTTCATGGTTTAGTACAAGAACCTAATGTGCACCAAGATGATCGGTAAAATTCTCATTGAAGTATTCTATGGGATCAAGCCTAAAAAGTATCCATTTCAACTACAAATCTACCAAAGGCTAAAATGGCAGTGTTAAGGTTGTACAACTTGAAAATAATATAATCTGACAAGACCATTAGTACAAGTACAAGCCTTTCAATAATAAAAATAAAGATATAGGCCCCCAAATAAATAGCATCAGACTAAAACTTGTGTCTCTTTCCACATAAGATGCTACTTCATCTACTATTACTAGATAACCAATGTAGATTAATAATGACCATACAATGTAAGGAATAATAAAAATATAAGTATATCATGTATTCCACACAATAATCCAATACAGGTGACATTACTCTCATTTAAAAGATGTGGAAATGGAACCACAGAGAGGCGAAGTAATTTGTACAATGCCACAAAATTACGTGTTGAACTAGGTAGCCAATCTAAGTCATTCTGACATTAAAATCTCTGTGCTCTTAATTCCTTCACTCTACTGCCTTTTCTAAGTGCTGAGAGTATAGTTTGGATGAGAAAAATCTGAATATCTAAATCCTTTTACAAGCTAGATCAGTAACTGGACATTTGAGCCTGGTCTAATTTCTTTCCTTTCCTGGGCGTCATTTTCTTTTCTTTATCTATTAAAAAAAAAAAAATTGGGCTGGACTTCGCAATCCCTTCCAGGGAGAACATTTGGTTCTGTTCAACCTCAAGTCCAGAAATGGCAGACTCCCAGCAGCCCCAAATTCATGTAATCTGCACTTGCCAATAACAGTGATTCATCCTGTGTATAAGTAAATGAAATTCAGGGCCAGGCATTGTGGCTCACTCCCAGCACTTTGGAAGGCCAGCGCAGGTGGAGCATTTGAGGTTAGGAGTTTGAGTACATGAAATTTGCTTTTTATTCCTCTGTACATTGTTTCATATTAAATACACTAAGCATTTTGGGAAAAAAAGTTATATACCAAATTAATTTGAGCTCTTTCATTTTATGGAAAAATGCATGCTTTAACTAACTGGATGCTTTATAAAAGTCTTTAGGTGAAGTTTAACTATAGTCCTGCAAATTGAAAAAGGAAACATTTTCTCTATTGCTTCAGTCTTTATACCTCACAGTCCATCTGTTACCACAGCACTGATTGTGATGTCACAACTGCAATTAGTTACACTCAGAGACAAACAGGAAAAATGCCAAGGGAGATGGTGCCCAGGCGTCAATAACTTGTGATTACTGTACTACTTATGAAATAGAAAGTTCAAATTCAGGAGACCTGCTTTCAGGTTGTCGTTATGCCACTTAGTAGCTATGTATCCTTAGGCAACTCATTTAATAGAACAATGATTTATGAGCTTGATTTCTTAAGCCAAATGGTTTGTGTTCAAATCCTCGTTCTGCTAGTTGACATAGGCACACTAGTTAACTTCTCTGTGCCTCTGTTCTTTACCTATAAATTGAGGAACTATGACTGCCTATCTTCAAAAGGTTGCAGAAAGAATAAAATATTATATTATATAAAGCATTTATCAAAGAGCCTTCTCCCTACTAAGTGCTCAGAGTTTGCCTTTATAAAGCATCTGTATTTTGAGTGAGTCCATTGTTAGGTAAAGTTCTACATAATAACTCTCTGAGTTTCTTCATTGTTAAAAATCAGGAAACAATTGCATGTACTTCATAAGACTGTTATCAAGACTAAATGTGGGAACCCAGAGAAAAGTATTTTGTAAGCAAAAGGCACTAAATTATCATTTGGTTAACATCTATATTTTGTTATTGTAAGATGATCTTGTATTAATTTAAAAATATTTACTAAGTGCTTGGAATATAAAAGGCACTGGACCAGGCATTGTGGAGAATATCAATCAGATATGGATTTTATGGTAATACAAGAATATTGATACCTCTAATATAGAAGATAATGAGTACCAAACCAGTACTCTAAATGGAAGTCTTTGAGGTGAGCATTGAAGAACAGAAAGATTTAAACATGGGGGAGGGAAGAGAAGAAGAGGAAAAAAGGAAGCATCCCTGACAAATAGTATCACAAAAAGCTAGGAGGTGAAAAAATACAGATCATGTATGATAAAAAGTGAGTGGTACAATTTAGCCAGAGGAGAATATGTGAAGGGATGGAGAGAAGTAATGAGAATGAAGCTACGTAACAGAGTGTGTTATATGTAGGAAGAACAACCACCACAATTTAGATTAAAAGTTATAAGGTATTAAAAAAGAACAGCCTAGGTAGAAAATATATAGAAAAGGATTAGATAAGTTTGGTATTCTTAAGCCTCTGCCATTATTATTCTATGTTCATGTTTCAGGGGGTGGTGAAGGAAGCCTACTGACTCTCACATCAAGTTCACATTCATGAATCTGAACTTCAAAACCTTTTATAATCTGTCCCAGAAGCCCATCTTTTGTCACACTCCTCACCAACTCTCTTGGTTTCCTCTGAGGCCGTAAAAAACACCAGGTCCCAATTTCTTGCGTTGGCTATTACTAGCTTCTGGTTTATTTTCTTCATCTTCTACCTATCTATGCCAGATTATAACCCTTCCCTAAATCTCATTTCCATCAGAAAGCTTTCCTTGATAATCTAAAACATATCACTCTCTTCCATCTCTACATACTTTATTGCATATCCATTTCATCAAATGGCAACATGGAAGAACTATCACTGACCTAGGAATAAAATGACAAGGGTCCTGGCAGCATGTCTTGTCTTTGATTTGAGGCACGTTATTCAATGCCACAGGCTCCGTCCTTGGTAAAATGAAATATTTGTGAATTAGCAAACTTTAAAGTCATTTCCTGTCATTCATTCAACAAATATATAATGAACATCCACCTGTGCTGAGCTCTATCCCAGGTGCTGAGGATACAGAGGTGAAAACAAAATATCTATCTATCTATCTATCTATCTGTCTGTCTGTCTGTCTATCTATCATCTATCAGCTACTATACTATAATTGCATTCTTTTTATTTAATTTAATTTTATTTATTTATTTATTTAATTTTTTTTTTTTTTTTTGAGACAGTTTCACTCTGTTGCCCAGGCTGGAGTGCAGTGGTGCGATCTCAGCTCACTGCAACATCCACATCCCGGGTTCAAGCAATCCTCAAACCTTGGCCTCCAAATAGCTGAGATTAGAAGCATGCACCACCACACCTGGTTAATTTTTGTATTTTTAGTAGACACGGGGTTTCACCATTTCACCATGTTGGCCGGGCTGGTCTTGAACTCCTGACCAAATGATCCACCCACCTCCGCCTTCCAAAGTGCCAGGATTACAGGCGTGAGTCACTGTGCCTGGCAACTATGATTGCAATCTTATAATGTAGTGGTTCTCAAAATTGAGCTTGCATTAGAATTACCTGGAAAACTTGTTCAAAGATTTCTCTGTTTCTGATGCAATAGATTTGGAGTAGGGCCCCAAACTTTTAATTTCTAAGATGTTTCCTGGTGATGCTGATGCCACTGAACCAAGGACCACATTTACAGACCTTCTTTTCTGGCAGACTATTGTTTTCACTGCTGTATTGTCAGTGCTTGAAATAAATATTGATGGAATGAAATAATAAATTTGAGGCACTTAGTTAACTGATAAAGGGGGATATATAATGATTTTACAGTTTAGAAGGAAAATCACAATTTTGCTGAAAGGTAAAGGAGTTACTATAATCAGAAAGGTACAAGGTATATCAAGGTTTATATCCAAAGAAAAACAAAATTACTTCTAACCTAGGGGAAAGGGTAGAAAGGTCATAGAAAGCTTTGTGGAGTAGTTTATTTGAGCTATTCCTTGAAGGACCCGTACACTTATTTCAAAAATGACTGTCATTACTCAAAATATTTGTAGTTCTTGTCTTTGGAATTTGTCTACTGAATCAATAGTGAATCTTTTCTTTTTTCCTTACACTCTATAGTGAATCTTTTTTTAAAAAATTCCTTCAAAGTGTATAGAATTTTTGTATTCTGATGTAAGGTTTGATATTTGGAATTAGCTAAGCATGATATTTTTGCCAAATCTGGTCAGGAAGTTGGGTGATTTTGTTGCATAATCCTGTTCTTTGTTAAAAATAAAGTATACTTTTCAGTTAATGTACCGATTTTCTAGTATGACTTATAAATGAAGGCCCAAAGCAATTTCAGGGTAGAAGTTCAAAAATCAGTCTGAGGCCAGGTGCAATGGCTCATGCCTGTAATGCCAACTCTTTGGGAGACTGAGGCAAGCAGATCGCTTGAGCTCAGGAGTTCAAGACCAGCCTGGCCAACACGGTGAAACCCCGTCTCTACAAAACGCACAAAAAATTAGCCATGAGTAGTGGCACACGCCTGTAGTCTTTACTCGGGAGGCTAAGGCAGGAGAATTGCTTGAGCTCAGGAGGCAGAGGTTGCAGTGAACCAAGATCACGCCATCGCACTCCAGCCTGGCTGACAGGAGTGAAATCCTGTGTCAAAAAAAAAAAAATTCATTTTGAACAATGGATTAAGTTTGTAGTTTCTGAAAGTGATTAAAGGACAGTTTCCATTTGGCCATAGATGCTCTTGTGTGTTTGAAATCAGTCTTAATATATCTGGTATCAATCTGTTGAAAGAATCAACGTCTGGACATACACTATACCATGTACACTTTTCTTCAGAGTGTATGCCATGCTATAAATATCTAAAATTTAAACTTTATGGGAATAAAAAAGCAGTATAAAAATGGATGTTCTTCCAAGTTAGATCTATAAAAAAATATGTACTGGTACCAGGAAATATACATAGGTTTATCTGAGCTCTTGATTTGGGGACATTGAGTTAACAATAAGTATTAGTTCATGTGTTCTGGGCATGGAATTACATGGTGGGTCACACTGGTCCTGTATGAACGGGGGCATGACAAACCATTCTTCTAGTTTGGAACAGTGGGACTAAAGAGAACATGGAAAGCCTGTGACTAAAGCACACTCTACAGTCATAACTTCCCCCTTCTTGTTTGTCCCATAGTCCTTCAGCTACTCTCTGTTCACCCAGTCTTCATGTCCAGGGTATCTTCAGTAGCAGATCAGCATGTACTAGAATAGTATATTAATAGTAAATTCATAATGTTTTAAAAACCTTTACCTCAAACCTTTTAATAGAGTGTACCAAATTTAGTTTGGTCTGATGTAAATGAGAAAATCTACTACCAATCCCTAGGACCAATGATTCTTAAAGATCTCCAAACCAGCAGCATCAGCATCACCTGAGAGCTTATTAGAAATGCAAATTCTCCAGACCTGATAAAGCAGAATCTGACTTAACAAGCCATGGCTCAAGGTGGTTCTGCTACATGTGAAGACCACTGGTTTAGACAGTATCAGCAGTAAAGAAACTCTGTCAAGATGTGCAATCTTCTACGAATTTTGCAACATATTATAATACCCCATTACCATCTTCATGATTACTACATTTAATACACACACAATTACACACATATTCAACTTGTAAGTTACCCTTGACAGAATGTGTATAAAAAAGGTATGCCTTCTCTTTGTAAAGTGATGGTATAGAAGGAAGAAAAATAGATTTGTCTTTAGTTTTTTTAAATGATACTATCCTTAACCCCTCCCCTTTCGTCCCCAATAAAAGAATCACACTGGGGAAACATTGCTAGCAGGTGACTATTCCGTTTCTTTGACATAGCAGGAAAATCTTATTAGGTGATGTAAATGAACCTTGTCACTTGCAAATATAAACTGTCGCGCATCTTGGGTGAACAGCTAAGTGCAGAACTGTTTCAAAAACTTGAAGGTAAATGGATGTCTTATTTGCAGCTAAACCATCATACTCATGTCAAATCTATTCATTGGAATAGGATACTGAAGATACATAATACAATTTTTTTGCTGAAATTTAAAAGTTTCATAATCCACTTAAGAGGCATATTTCAGAATAAAATAATTCTCTGTTTTGGAATTAAAGCACAGGCTTGGAGCAGTCCAGTCCACAGAAGTATAATGCAATCTATCCATATAATTTTAAATTTTCTAATAGCCACATTTAAAAAAGTAAAATGAAATGAATAACATTAACTTCAAAATAATTTTTTACTCAAATATATAAAAATATTACATTTCGACTTATAAAAAATATAAAATTGATGGGCTATTTTTACTTTTTTTGTATTTGATCATTAAAATCTTTCATGTATGTTACATGTATGGCACACCTCAACCAGTATGTTAAATTTTGACTGGAAATACTTTCTTTTTATTTGTTTTTATTTTTTGTCTTAGTGTTCTTCAAAATGATTTTTATTTAGAACACAATTTATTATTGCAAAAGTAGATTCTATATCCAAGTTGTTCTAAATACTAAAAAAGTTTTCCAATAGCTTACTGAACATTAGTTTTTATATTTAAATAAAAAATGAGATTTAAAATTCATTTCTTCAATCACACTAGCTTCATTTCATATATTCAATACACGTAAGGCAGTGTAGAATTGGAGCTATGCGAGACCAAGCTGGGTTAGAATCCTGACTTGGCCTCTTTCCAGCTGCTTGTCCTTGGGAATTTACCTAGCCCTCTCCAAGCTTCAGTTCTAGCTTCGAATTGCAGGCGGGGAAACACCACACTGAATATGTTTTAACTCCTACCTGCAAAGCTAACAGCAGAAGACAAACACCCGCTATTTGTTTCTCCCTTCATGGAAGTGGTGGACTCACTGCATGATATAATAAAAATCAGAACCAATCAACGTAGGGATAGTTAAGTAAATTTCTTTATTCCATACTCTGAAGCCATAAAATACTAATAACTAATTAATCACTAATTTATTTAATCACCAATTAATATTGAAATCGGTTGTTATTAAGGAAGAAAACCGTAATATTAGGAATAGCACGACGGCTGCCCGTGTGCTCAGGAAAAACCTAGAAGGGTCTGCCACCCATCCATTAACAGCGGTTATAGGAAGCAACAGAATGGGGGCAGGGCCCAGCCGGCACACGCTTCAGTTTATATTTCTTGTCAGTTAATTTCCAAAAACGTTGTTCTAAAAAGGAGATATAATACTGTTTTAGTTTAAGGGGCAAATCTCAAATGTGCTGAAACGACTACGCTTTTCCCTCAGTCTGGAATGTGATTTTAAATCTAGCTTAACTATACTATAATAAAAGGCCACATGAAAATACTTTGTCAGAACGAAAAACACGCCGCCTTAAATCCGCTTTCGGTTGGCGGTTTCCCGCCAGCGGAACGGAAGCAAAACCGCCTTTGACGTCAAGGGAAGAGTCCCCTCCCAGTTACTACGGTGAAGTCTATGCGGCCATCTTTACTGTGGTCATCTCGTACCAAGCGTGTCGTAGTGGGGCTGTTGGGGCCCCACAGAAAGTCAGCGGAACGTGAAATGGGAAAGGAATCATGCGACTCTGTAATAAGAAGCTGACAGAACCATGAAGGATCAGGGACTGAAAGCATTAGATAAGTTGTTAGTGGGATGCAGGTTCCACAGGCAAGCGGAACGATTCAAGCGAATTAGTAAAGTTTCTGCCCGGATCTTGAAAGCCGCTTCCGTTGCTCAGCGGAAGTGTCGGTCGCAAGAGGACAGACGCCTCGAAGAATCCGCTATCGGCTGTCTGCACAACCGGAATCATGTCGAGTTTGGCGGTGAGAGACCCGGCAATGGATCGATCACTGCGTTCCGTGTTCGTGGGGAACATTCCATATGAGGCAACTGAGGAGCAGTTAAAGGACATTTTCTCGGAGGTTGGTTCTGTTGTCAGTTTCCGGCTGGTATACGATAGAGAGACGGGAAAACCCAAGGGCTATGGCTTCTGCGAATACCAAGACCAGGAGACCGCGCTTAGTGCCATGCGGAACCTCAATGGGCGGGAGTTCAGTGGGAGAGCGCTTCGGGTGGACAATGCTGCCAGTGAAAAGAATAAGGAGGAGTTAAAGAGCCTTGGGCCTGCAGCGCCCATTATTGACTCACCCTATGGGGATCCCATCGATCCAGAAGATGCCCCTGAATCGATTACCAGAGCAGTAGCCAGTCTCCCCCCGGAGCAGATGTTTGAGCTGATGAAGCAGATGAAGCTCTGTGTCCAAAACAGCCACCAGGAAGCTCGAAACATGTTACTTCAAAATCCACAACTGGCTTATGCACTGTTGCAGGCACAAGTAGTGATGAGAATCATGGATCCAGAGATTGCTCTGAAAATTCTGCATCGGAAGATACATGTCACACCACTGATCCCAGGCAAATCTCAGTCTGTGTCTGTCTCTGGCCCTGGCCCTGGCCCTGGCCCTGGGCTCTGCCCAGGACCTAATGTTCTGCTGAACCAGCAGAATCCTCCAGCTCCTCAGCCTCAGCATTTGGCTAGAAGACCTGTGAAGGACATTCCTCCTCTGATGCAGACTCCTATCCAGGGTGGAATTCCAGCTCCAGGGCCAATACCAGCTGCAGTTCCCGGAGCTGGTCCTGGTTCCTTAACTCCTGGAGGAGCAATGCAGCCCCAACTTGGAATGCCAGGGGTTGGCCCAGTGCCTTTAGAGCGGGGACAAGTGCAGATGTCAGATCCTAGAGCTCCTATACCTCGCGGACCCGTGACTCCTGGTGGTCTGCCTCCTCGAGGACTGTTAGGAGATGCTCCAAATGACCCACGTGGAGGGACTTTGCTTTCAGTCACTGGAGAAGTGGAGCCCAGAGGTTATCTGGGTCCACCCCATCAGGGTCCCCCCATGCATCATGCCTCTGGTCATGACACTCGTGGCCCTTCCTCACATGAGATGAGGGGAGGGCCATTAGGAGATCCCAGACTGCTAATTGGAGAGCCCAGAGGCCCCATGATAGATCAAAGGGGTCTACCTATGGATGGTAGAGGTGGTAGAGATTCTCGAGCGATGGAGACTCGTGCCATGGAAACTGAGGTCTTAGAGACACGTGTAATGGAGAGGAGAGGAATGGAGACCTGTGCGATGGAAACCAGAGGGATGGAAGCAAGGGGCATGGATGCAAGAGGATTGGAGATGAGGGGCCCTGTCCCCAGTTCAAGAGGCCCTATGACTGGTGGAATTCAGGGTCCTGGTCCCATTAATATAGGGGCAGGTGGCCCTCCTCAGGGACCCAGACAGGTCCCAGGCATTTCAGGGGTGGGGAATCCTGGAGCTGGTATGCAGGGTACAGGCATACAAGGAACAGGCATGCAGGGAGCAGGCATACAAGGAGGAGGGATGCAGGGGGCAGGCATACAAGGAGTCAGTATACAAGGAGGAGGTATACAAGGAGGAGGTATACAGGGGGCAAGCAAGCAAGGTGGAAGCCAGCCTAGCAGTTTTAGTCCTGGGCAGAGCCAGGTCACTCCACAGGATCAGGAGAAGGCAGCTTTGATCATGCAGGTTCTTCAACTGACTGCAGATCAGATTGCCATGCTGCCCCCTGAGCAAAGGCAGAGTATCCTGATTTTAAAGGAACAAATCCAGAAATCCACTGGAGCGTCTTGAAAGGTTTTAGAAAATATTTGGCTGTAGTCTCAAATTTTATTCTGTAGCATGGAGAATGGGTGCAAAAAGCTGACTTCTGTATCCCCACACTTGGATTAGGGTTTCCCTCCTCCTAGAACCTAATCTTATTTTTTGTTCTTTTTCTTTCTTTCTGTTTTCCTTTTTTTTTTAATTGAGGGTGGGGGGAGGAGGGAGTGCGTCTGTTCACTTTAAGTTACTTTAAAATAACTCTGAACATGATTATATTATGCCAAATAAGATTACAAAGAATAAGCAGCAATATTGAAGCATCTACAGTATGTTAACTACATTTTTTAAATGTCGAGTAAAACTTCGTGAAAACTGCTCATAAAGACTAAAAGTTGACCTGTTAAAACGTTAATGTACTAAGATAGTTTTAAGATTTTTGGTTGTATAACAAAATAAAAGTTTACCCAAAAGTATAAGATACATTTTTTGGTAAACCATTTAAAATACAAAATCCTATTTTGGAGGCAATAGGATAAGCATTGTCTTAGTGTTTTAGAATTATTTTTGAAACAGAGTTAACAGGATAAGGTTACACTTGTATTAGAATTGTTTTTTTCTAAAGTTATGTTACCTGAAAAATCAAGGAGTGCACCTGATTTACTGTTGCTTCATTTATCCCATCCTTCAGAGACCAGCAAGGTTCTGCCAGGCCCCAAGCATCTGAGCATGATGATTTTGCTGTGACAATTCTAAGATCAACCAGGTTACTTAAGTCCGCTCTGATGAAACCCAGTCTCTCAATACCTTCCTATTTCTCAATAGTCTTTAAGCCCTAAATCTGAGTCAGTAATTCTCTAAAAATCCTTCCCAAAAATCAGTGTCTAGGGACTGGTTGATCTAGATGAGTTATAAATGGTATTTGACTTTTCATAAGTAGTGGAAGGTTTCACTAAGTAAAGATCTGAGTTTCTTGGTATCTGACGTTTGTATACAGATGGTGTCCATTTGCTCAACCAGACAGGAGTTAACTTGTATTAGAATTGTTTTTTCTAAAGTTATGTTACCTGAGAAATTAAGGACTGCACCTGGTTTAATGTTGCTTCACTTATCCCACCCTACAGAGACCAGCAAGGTTCTGCCAGGCCTCGAGCATCCAAGCATGATTTTGCTGTGACAAATCTAAAATCAACCAGGCTACTTAAGTCTGCTCTGATGAAACCCAATAATCTCTCAATACCTTCCTATTTCTCAATAGTCTTTAAACCCTAAATCTGAGTCAGTAATTCTCTTACATCCTTCCCAAAAATCAGTGTCTAGGGACTAGTTGATCTGGATGAGTTATACATGATATTTGACTTTTCATAAGTAGTGGAAGGTTTCACTAAGTAAAACTCTCAGTTTCTTGGTATCTGGCTTTCTTATACAGATGGTGTCCATTTGCTCCACCAGACAGGAGTTAAAAACCTTTAAAGAGCATTTAACATGCCTTTTAGTTTTCTTATTTCATAATCTACTTTTCTATCATTAATCATCTTACCAGGAATAATCAAGGCCCAGGTAGGTAGAAGTTTTTATATAGCCTGAATACTCACTTGACTTACTGCTCATTTTACTTTTTGCATGGAATACAGCCATTTAGTCCTAATATACATACCAATGAGACAATTAAAAATTGGTTGGAAGATGGAGCTTATCACATTGTGCTACTACGACTTTATTTTTTCTTGAAAATAAAGCCTTGAGGATGTGAACATAAATGTTGGTATCATAAAACAAGTAGTAATAAAAGCATAAATTATCAAATATCAGGTGATCTTACTATGGAGAAGAAAAACCAATATCTAGTTACAGATGAAAAAATGTTTAATACAAAGAGCTGAAAATGTAGAAATTGAGTTATCTTCCCTTTGCAAAATTTTTACACTTTAAATTAGTAATTCTTTGTTTGCAAGGTTTTCATCCCTATGCTGTTGTTTTCTACTACCTGTTTTACTCTTGTTCATACTGCTACTTTCCCATGTTTCCTATATGCCTCCCCTATATTGGAGAGGATAACTCGCGTTTACATATGTGATAGTTATGCTTAATACTAATTCACAGAGTTGGCTCGATCATTTTGAGATTCTAGTTGCTTTATCTCAAAGCTTTCACTGAAGGGCTGTAACTGAAAATTATTAAATGTTAGTCTTTAGTCAAATCTCTGCATTGTTTCATGCAGAAAATAAAGATACAATTAAGGCTGACATTAGTATCTGATATGTTTATTTTTAATGAATACATTATACAAAAGTCTTCCATTCTGGATATACATGGGGCCTGATTACCTTTTGTTTTTAATGAAAAAGGCAGAACTAATGAAATTGCAGGAATGGATGGAACTCACTTAGAGCCATTATCTATATAGTTTGACAGTTGAAATAACTATAAAGATGGGCCATTTTGTGGTTGGTATAAGCAACATCTTGGCGGTAGTCAGATATTAAGCTTATGTTCCCCAGAGAGAATTCCTCTGTATTTCAATAGCACCTCGTAGCTATCTTCATTACTGACAACATTAGTTATATTGCAGTGCACTTTTTACGTCCACTTCCACAAACTGAACACAGGGACAGCCTATCTCATTCCCATATTCACAGATGGGAACAGGACAAAATATTTTATTAGAGTTATTAGGGGGAAAAAATCCCATTAAGAGCACATATGCTGCCTTCATAAGGGTTTAGATGCAACACAGAACAAATGAGCTATAACAACTATTTCCATTTCAAAAAACAATTAGAAACAGGTTATTAAAAACAATCACCTCTACTCTGTGAAAGCTAAGGAAATAGATTCTCCTCACTTCTGAATCATTGAACATTCCAATATTGATGTAGAAAGCATAGAGCCTTATTTCATTTGATAGTAAAGAATAAAGCAAGCAATATTGCCACAATCAGAATCTTTTATGTGTTTTTCTACACAATCATCGTTTATAACCCCTCACATCCTGAATTTTCCCTAGGATGTGTAGACTAAAATAAAATCACCAATTCATTCATCATAATAGTTGAAGATGACAGGGTGAAACAGTGATTTGCTAATGCTTCTTTAAGGCTTATCCTCTTGGGCAGTACATGTTTTTTGGGATTATGAAATGATCAACTTTAATCAGTGCCTGCCCATTAGTCCTTGCCCTAATATTACTGATGATTAATACCAAAAATATGTTTTAATATCTGCTGACTTCCTAGGATTTGGGAGTATTTGATAAGATATAAGCCAATGTGAATCCCAGTCAAAAGTAGGCTTATCTAAGTAAGATTATGTTTGGCTTTTCAACTACACTTTTCAGAATTTTAATGGTAGAAAAACATTTAAGAAAGAAAACCGTTAACGTAATCACGGCTTGCAGAGCTTCTTGTTTTTCCATGCTGTGATGGGACATTAGCTAAGCACACAGAACATAATTTCCTATGGTGTGTCAGGCCTTTCTCTTAGGTCTGATGAGGTCTAAGGATAATTATGTGCAACAACCTACTGTGGCAGAGAAACTGAATTATCAGTTACATCTGAGAGTCTTCTCACAAAAGAATGTCAGTCTCTCACTGCTTTATATTAGCTAATCTCTAGACGGACTTTCCTGGTTGAAGCTTACTTTTTTCATCAGTCTCTTATCAAGAATGCTCTGGTTAAGAACTAATTCATATTACGGACATCATTAATATATTGTAAGTATCCATAAATATAAATTTTAATATTAAATGTTAATAGGGATATTACATGATATTGGCATACTATATAATGTGCTTATATATATTTATTTCAAATGTTAACTGAATCAGATCTTTAAATATTTTCGTTTGTTTTTATGCACCCTGAAACAAAAGTTTACTCCTTTGGTTGAAAATTCACCTTCACAAATATTCATATTACCAATTACCTTTCTCATAAAATATTAACTATCATGTTTGTTCTTGATATTATTCTACAACAATATATAACATGTCATTTGAGGGCATGAATTGTGTCAAAAGTGACACTTGGGAGTCGGGCATGGTGGCTTATACCTGTAATCCCAGCACTTTGGGAGGCTGAGGTGGGCAGATCACTTGAGGTCAGGAGTTTGAGACCAGCCTGGCCAATGTGGTGAAACCCCATCTCTACTAAAAATACAAAAATTAGCCAGGCATGTTGGCAGGCCCCAGTAATCCCAGCTACTTGGGAGTCTGAGGCACGAGAAGCACTTGAACCTGGGAGGTGGAGATTGAAGTGAGTCGAGATTGTGCCACTACACTCCAGCCTGGGCAACAGATGAGACTCTGTCTCAAAATAAAATGAATTTAAAAATAAGTGACACTTGGGGTAACATCATTAAAAATAACAAACCTGGTGCTTATTAAATACTATTAAAAAGCACCCAAATATTTACCAAATAACAGCTTTTTTTTTTTTTTTTTTTGAGGTGGTGTCTCACTTTGCTGCCCAGGCTGGAGTACAGTGGCACAATCTCAGCTCACTGCAACCTCTGCCTCCTGGGTTTAAGTGATTTCCCTGCCTCATCCTCTCAAGTAGCTGTGATTACAGGCGTGTGCTACCATACCTGGCTGATTTTTGTAGTTTTAGTAGAGACGGGGTTTCACCATGTTGGCCAGGCTGGTTTTGAACTCCTGACCTCAAATGATCCACCCGCCTTGGCCCTCCCAAAGTGCTGGGATTAGAGGTGTGAGCCACCACACCTGGCATTTAATAACAACCCTTTATAACCAAGAGTTGGTTTAGATTCCCAAACTAGGTAACTACCCTTTAATCATAGGGTTTTAAAAATAAAAAAATAAAAAGTACGTAGCTAATTACAAAAAATACACAACATTCTCAATCATAATTAATTTTATATGATTGAGTATGTATAATATCTGCAGACATTTGAAATGAATCTCATATGTATTACAAAGGTTGGTCATTTAAAAAAATATATCTGACGTGCAGATGCAGTGGCTCATGCCAGCAGTTTGGGAGGTTGAGGCAGAAGGATCACTTGAGTTCAGGACTTTAAGACCAGCCTGGGCAACACAGGGAGATCCTGTCTCTACAAAAAATGTAAAAATTAGCTGAGTATGGCGATGTACACATTCTTTAAGTGAATCCTACAGACTCACCTTAATAACATTTAAAATGAGTGCCAACATTGGAAAATGGTATAGTTGGGCGGGGCGTGGTGGCTCATGCCTGTAATCCCAGCACTTTGGGATGGAGAGGTGGGCAGATCACATGGTCAGGAGATTCAGACCATCCTGGCTAATGGTGAAAATCCGTCTCTACTAAAAATACAAAAAAATTAGCCAGGGGCGTGGTGGTGGGCACCTGTAGTCCCAGCTACTTGGGAGGCTGAGGCAGGAGAATGGCATGAACCCAGGAGGCGGAACTTGCAGTGAGCCGAGATCGCGCCACTGCACTCCAGCCTGGGTGACAGAGAAATGGTATAGTTGAATTCATAATGTGATTTTTTTTTTTTAAAAAGGCCAATATAGGGCTTGCTTGGTGCCTTAACATTTATTAAATCATACTCCATATCGGAAATATCACTCTTGTTCTCATGTTAATCAATATAGTGACATAAATCAGGACTAAAAACATTGCCAGACACAAACCTTGTATGGGAGAGTAAATACAACCATCAACTATTAATACAATATATTTCCTATCTTTGGCTAAGCCTATATCCAAAATGATTTCATCTTTTTATGCTTATCAATCATCAGAGGAAAAGATCCTCATCTATTTTAAGCATCAGAGAAATTACACTATTGAAACTTGTAGAATTATTGTCAATGTTATTCAAGTTTTGTTCCCTAAAAGTTTTAAATATCTTTGGACAAGAAACCTCAAATTGGTGATCTGTGGACCAATTGAGCCTACAGATATGTTTTATTTGACCAGTCAATTTTCTTGAAAATTTTGAACTTAAATGCCTGTAGAAGCAGCTTATATTCTCCAATTTGGCCACAAGCCTAACCTCCTCCTAGCCTTCGAGCTTACAACTCCTGCTTTTACTCAGTATAAAAACATAATTATTAGATTGGATCAATATTAGTGTCTAGTTTGACAAATGTAGCATAGAAAAACTTGCTCAAGGCCAGACAAGGTATCTCACGCCTGCAATCCCAGCTGTTTGGGAGCCCAAGGCTGGAGGATCGCTTGTGTCCAGGAGTTTGAGACCAGCCTGAGCAGCATGGTGAAACCCTGTCTCTATAAAGTATACAAAAATTAGTTCATTAGTTGGCCATGGTGGCATGGCTCTGTAGTCCCAGCTACTTAGGACGTTGAAGTGGGAGGATCACTTCAGCCCAGGAGGTGGAGGCTGCAGTGAGCCGGGATCTCGCCACTGCACTCCAGCCTGGGTGACAGAGCAAGACCTTATCTCAAAAAAAAAAAAAAAAAGATAAAAAGAAAAACCTGTTTAGCAACTGGTTCGGCACATGTATTTCTGCAAAATCAACCAGCAACAAAAGGAAAACCCAAAGCAAACAAAAACAAAAATCTTGATGCATTTTTTTTTTGTGGATTTTGATGAGCTATACTGAGCAAAGGAATGTCCTAGGAAACTAAGCCAATCAGTATATTTAGCCCACAAATGTTTGCATTTTCAATAAATATTAATCCAAAATAGCAATATCTTCTTTTTCAATGAAAACATATATTTATAAAATATGATATATATTATTCATATATGTAGATATTAAATGTTAACAGCTCTAGAATGAAGATATGGATAGTATACATAATGGAACGTAATTCTTTTTTTTTTTTTTTTTTTTTTTTTGAGACAGAGTCTCACTCTGTCGCCAGGCTGGGGGGTGTAGTGGTGCAATCTTGGCTCACTGCAACCTCTGCCTCCCGGGTTCAAGCGATTCTCCTGCCTCAGCCTCCTGAGTAGCTGGGAGTACAGGTGCTCGCCACCACACCCAGCTAATTTTTGTATTTTTAGTAGAGACGGGGTTTCACCATATTGGCCAGGATGGCCTCGATCTCTGGACCTCCTTATCCACCCTCCTCGGCCTCCCAAAGTGCTGGGATTACAGGTGTGAGCCACAGCGCCCGGCCCAAAATTCTTTAATTTCTTTATCTGTTATTGATGTACCTGCCAACCTCTGACTCTCTGATTCTCTACTATCTCACTTTGTTGCCTGGAATGAATATGAAGCAGCCTGTACCAATTTAGGAATCTACTTATGTAGATTATAGAAAATGACCCACTATATAAACTTTCATATAACAGGCACAGTAATTTAAACAAAACAAAACAAAAGCCCTTAACCAGATCATGTTATTTCCCTGTTAAAACCTCTCATGGCTTACATTGCTCTTAGAATAAAATTCAAAATCCTTATGTGTCCTATATAGCCCTGATATAGTTTGGATGTGTCCCCACCCAAATCTCATATTGAAATATAATCCCCGGTGTTGGAGGAGGGGCCTTGTGGGAGGTGATTGGATCATGAGGGTGGATTTCTCATGAATAGTTTATCACCATCCCCCATGGTACTGTCCTCTTATTAGTGAGTGAGTTCTCATGTAATCTGGTAATTTAAAAGTGTGCAGCACCTCCCCCTCTGCTCTCTTGCTCCTGCTCTGGTCCTGTGCCTGCTGCCCCTTTCCCTTTGTCATGATTCTAAGTTCCCTGAGGTCTCCCCAGAAGCCAAGTCAATGCCAGCATCATGCTTCCTGTACAGCCTGCAGAAACATGAGCCAATTAAACCTCTTTTCTTTATAAATTACCCCATCTCAGGTATTTCTTTATAGAAATGCAAGAATGAACTAATACAAGCCTTAAGTATACCAATGTCGCACACTACCGTTGGCCCCTTACTCACTTCTACAAATATTTTGGGCCTAGTTTTATTTAATTGAATTTGCCAGACTCATTTTCATCTCTGTACTTGGAGTTTCTCTTGCTCATCACCCACTCTTTCCCCAGGCCTTTGAATGGCTAGTTGATTCTCTTTACTCAGGTCTTGGCTTACATAGTATAGCACTTACTCAGAGGCCTTTTCCTGAACACCTGGGAAACCACAGACAAAGCAAACGTAAATTTAAATGGTCTCCCAATTCTCTCTCATAATCTTGTTGTCTTTCTTGTTTGTTTGTTAAGAGTAGTTATCTTACCTGAGCACCACTTACACATTGTATGGGATTAATCCATATTCTCCAACCCTTTGCAAAGCATAATGGTTCTTCTATGCACCCACCAAACTTGATGATTGTCATGAATGAGTTACTCTTCATTATGCCCATGTTATATTTATCATGTAAATCATGTTTGTTCCCAAACAAATCTATGCTGGTTTTATCTATTATTATAATATATGAATATGCATATAGGCACAAACATAGGTATAGATAATGTGTGTATGTATGAAATATGATTGTAAAAATAAAAAGTTATTTCTCTGAAAACTATCTTGAATGCTTTGAAATATAGATAGATAGATAGATAGATAGATAGATAGTAGATAGATTTATTATGTCAACTGTGTTTGATGGTGTATTAGTCTGTTTTCATGCTGCTGATAAATACATACCCCAGACTCAGAAACTTACAAAGGAAAGAGGTTTAATGGAGAACTCACAGTTCCACGTGGCTGAGGAAGCCTCACAAGCATGGCGGAATGCAAGGAGGAGCAAGTCATGTCTTATATGGATGGCAGTAGGCAGAGAGAGCTTGTGCAGGGATACCACTGTTTTAAAGCCATCAGATCTCATGAAACCCACTCACTATCATGAAAACAGCATGGGAAAGACCACCCCCATGATTCAGTCATCTCCCACCAGGTACCTCCCACAACACATGGGAATTATGGGAGCTACAAGATGAGATTTGAGTGGGGACACAGAGCCAAACCATATCAGATGGTAAACCAGTTTATACCAATTGTACTATTTTTTGTTTTATATAGATTGATTGACTGATATTAGCATGAGTGTGAAAAAGTTATTTCTGTGAAAACTATGTTGACTGTTTCTACAAGATTTTATAAAAGGAGCTAAAAATACAACATTGTTAAATACTGTGGGGGCAAGGTAATTTTTTAAAATACTTTAAAAATCTTTAAAATCTAGAATTTACCCTGATACTTTGTAAGCATCCAAATCCTTGTTTCACTAAAAAAAAAAAAAAAAAAAAGGATTGTTACTGGCAATTTTAGACAAAGCAGGTCAATGCTTTAATTTCCTCACAGAAATTTTTCAGGCAGAGGAAGAAAAATCCTTGAGGAAATGTTATCTGAGGTTTGGTGCTGCCATAGTTGTCTCCCTTTAACCTCCACGGGATTACGCAGGAGAGACACCAGCCTGCCACCATTCCAGTCCTCCTCCTTCCCCTTCCTTGTGATGTTATATACTGAGGAGAACAGAATATACCCTAATCTCTTGCTAATTAAAGTGTGCTCCTTAGACCAGCAGCACCAGCATCACCTGGGAGCCTGTTAGAAATGCAGAATCTAGGTGCCCACCCAGACCTGCTGAATCAAAGCCTGCATATTAATAAGATCCCCAAGGATCCACATGCAAATAAATGTTTGAAAAGCACTGCTTTAATCCTACAAGAAAGTGAAAACAATGACAACAACAAATAAAAGCACCATAAAATTAATATTATGACAAATAGAAGGGATTTTTAATTTACCTACATGGCTTCCCTTCCACTAGCAGAGAAAATCAAGAATTGGCAAAAATCCTTACCCAATCTGAGGAAAATAGGAGATAGCCCATGTATTAGATGCCACATTGGACAAGCAAGCAGACAAACAAAAATCTTGTTCCTTCACAGATAATTGAGTGAACATTGGATCTACTGGGAAACCTAAGACAGCATAATTGAAATTATTGTTGTTTGGGGAAGACACCTGAATGTATTTTGTCCATATGTGTAACCCTTTTTTCCTTAGATATGGAGAAGAAGTTGTATTGAATTGGTAGAAACATTTATATTTATTATATATGATCACCAGAAACATGGCACACCAAAAATTGTTTCAGCCAAGCTGTGACTCTCTGGAATGAATGCCACCACCATTCGTCAAAAAATTATCTCATAAAACCTAAATTGTTCTCTAATCCCACAAATCTCATTATTTTTCTGGTAGGATATACTATCCAGATAGGAATGCTAACATCTGGGTACTCCATTTTCTTTTGTAAATGTCTTTCCCTATAACCCAGAAATATTGCCTAACATCACACAGAGCTTATCTAGACTAGAAACAAGATTTCTAGAAGAAATTTTGAAGCTGTCAAATCAGCATGCTTATGATTCAGTGTGAATAAACCCTCAACAGAATTCTGCTGCTAACAATTTTTCAAACCTCATCTAAGTATTCTAAAGTGTCAAAAAGAAAGGACCAGTATAACAAGAATAGTTCAAAGGATCAGCCCAGTGTTTGTTCTGTTACTTCATTTTCAGTAAATGTATTGGAAATGGTAGCAAAACTCTATACTGCAATTTGTGCTTTTAACCTTGTCTTTGAACCTAATCATAATTAAGAGTACAAATTAACCAAATCAACATTTGTAAATTAAGCAAATTAACTTTTTTTTTCTTGAAAGTTTTCATTGGCCTTAAATGAGTGAACTCAAAACATTTCTAGCAAACAACAATTTAAATTCAAATCAAGGCCTTTCAAGTGGTGACATCAAACCATCAAGAGGCTGTAAAGATGGCTGGGTGTAATATATGCCTGTAATCCCAGCACTTGGGAGGCTGAGGTGGGCAAATTACTTGGGATCAGGAGTTTGAGACCTGCCTGGCCAATATGGTGAAACCCCATCTCTACTAAAAATACAAAAAATTAGCCGGGCCTGATGGCGGGCACCTGTAATCACAGCTACTTGGGAGGCTGAGGCAGGAGAATACCTTGAACCAGGGAGACAGAGGTTGCAGTGAGCCAAGATTGCACCACTGCACTCTAGCCTTCCTCTAAAAAGAAAAAACAAACAAACAAACAAACAAAAAAGGTTGTAAAGAAAAATTGGGAACTTAAGAATCTTCCCTTTTCACATGTGTTCAGACTACTTGCATTCCAGTCCTAATTGGGGCTTTGTTTGCCTATGGGGGAAACAAATGTGCTTAACTAGAATGTTTTGTGAATTGGAAGGAAGATGGCTTATAGGATCTTTGATTGGTGGGGATTTCATTGTCATCATTTTCAGATAAACATGTTTTTAGAAACTTTTCCCCTAGTTAGTGCCTGTACTGACACAAGCAAGCTAGTTGAGCTTTGGCCAGTGATAACCTTGGTTTAAAATGGCCAAAGCTCCATTATCCTATGCAATCTAACACAGGAACAGAAAACCATATCCTGCATGTTCTCACTTATAAGGGGGAGCCGAACGAGAACACATGCATACTAAGAGAGGAACAACAGGCACTGGGGCCTACTTGATGGGGGTGAAGAGGGAGAGGATCAGAAAAAAATGCCTTTTGGGTACTATGCTTATTACCTGGGTGATAAAATTAATTGTACACCAAAGCCCCGCGACACGCAGTTTACCTGTATAACAAACCTACACATGGACCCCTGAACCTAAAAGTTAAAGAATAAAGTAAAATAAAATGGCCCAAAACTACTCGTCCTGAGGAATTCAAGCTGGATTATTCCGGGTAGAGGAAAAAAGAGGCTTATCTGCATCTCTTGCCCATTCTTTCATTTACCCAGGATTACATAGAAGGAAGGGGATTGATGGGCTGGTCAGTGACTCAGCCCATGCCAGCCAAGCAGGATTGTGAAACTGATCTCCTTTCAGGGCCAGCACTGTGGCAAAGGCTCACAAATGACCAGGGCTGAAGAGTGGTCTCTTCAAAGAAGAGAGGAGGCAGGAAAGAATGAGGGAGGAATAGTTACTTTTTTTGTTTTGTTGTTGTTTTGTTTTCCCCACAAAACCACAGACTTACTCCACATATATGATCATGGCTGGTCACCCCAAGCAGGAGGAGCTGTCTCCAGTTCATTTCCAGCTGTTCAGAAAGTCTTCTGTGTCTTCCCCACCACATTATGGAAGCTTTTTTGTCTAGTCTTTTATTTTAATAAAAAATGAAATATAACATATTGATATAGACATGAAATATAATTATTTAAAATGTTTTTTAATTCCAATAGGCATTTTAATTTACACAGTGAGCAAATACTTTGAGTTGATGGAAAGAGACTATAATAGTGCAATTTCAGACATCAGCCACAAGATTAGGGGGAGTGGAGTTATTTATTTTTGAGGGAGGGAGTTAGTAGCAAGGCTCTTGCAAGTGTTCCAGAACCAACACATGCCACTTATGAGTTCTATGTCCTCTTTTGGAAGGTTGGGTCATAAATAACATACAAACAGCATGTATTGAGAACCTACGAAATGCCAGGCATTTGACACGCAGCATCTTTAACTTCACTAAAATTGGAGGAAGTTGACTAATTTGCCCTAAGTCACAACAGCTCATAAGAGGTGGAAGCACCATTGAATCCAAGTTTGTCTGACTTCCAAGCCCTTACTGTCCCCATTATATCATTCAGTTTTATGAAAGAGACAAGTAATAAGGTCGAACAGTATCCACACTGAGGGCTGAATGTGGAGAAATATTAGGCATCATTTTCACTAAGTGATGAAGGTCATTACAGGTCTAGAACATGTGATTTTTGGGCAACAGTGAAAAATTTATGAAATCAATCTTTTGCCCTTATGTTTTTTCTTGTTGTTTTTTCTCCCAAGAACCAAGTACTAGACTTGGGTTTTAGGATTATAGAGGCAATGAAAACCAAAACTTAGAATGAAGACATACTTATATGGAATAACAATAATTTATAAGAAATCCATAAAACTAAATATATATTTTTTAATCGAGACAAGATCTCTCTCTGTCACCCAGGCTGGAATGCAATGGCGTGATCTTGGCTCACTGCATCCTAAGCCTCCCAGGCTCAAGCGATCCTCCCACCTCAGTCTCTTGAGTAGCTGGGGCCACAGGCATGCACCACCATGCCCAGCTAAGTTTTTGTATTTTTGGTGGAGACAGGGTTTTGCCATGACCTGGGTGGTCTCGAACTCCTTAGCTCAAACTATCTGTTGCCCCGGCCTCCCAAAGTGCTGGGATTACAGGACTGAGCCACTGCGCCTGGCCAAATTTTATATATATATATAAAGTAATTCTAGTCAATATCTAATTTAAACAATCCTGTGACCTATTTTTCCCATGGTGTCTTTTTTTAACATTTTTATCAACATATAAATTACACACCATAAGATCCACCTATTTAAAGCATCCAATGTAATGGTTGTTACGATAGTCATAGAGTTGTGCAGCCACCACCACACCTACATTTAGAACATATTCATCACCCCAGAAAGAAACACTGGATCCACTTCCTACTCTTTTACTCTCAGCCTTAGGCAACCACTGTTCTACTTTTCCTCACTATAGATATTCTGGATATTTCCTAAAAAGTGAATCATACAACGTATGGTCTTCAGCTTCTTTTACTTAACATAATTTTTAAAAAAAATTTATCCATGTTGTAGCATTATTGTCAATTAGTATTCTTTTGTATGAATATACCACATTTTATTTATTCATTCACCAGTTGATGGATATTTGTGTTGTTTTCATTCAGGCTATTATGAATAGTGCCGGTGTGAACATTTGTGTGCACATATGTTTTCATTTCTCTTGGGTATATACCTAGGAGTAGAATTGCTACATCATATAGGAACTTTATGTTAACTTCAGAGGAACCATTAGACTGTTTTCCAAAACGACCAAACTATTTTACATTCCCCCGAAAAACAAATGAGGGTTCCAGTTTCTCTACATCCTCTTGTAACTGCAATAGACCAATCTGATTCTGTTTTTTTGTAACAAAGTTGTGAGTTTTTCAGTTGCCATGGACTCCCAGGTTGAGCATGCCCAGATGAAGCAAGTGTGCAACCACAGGCTGGAGGGTGGTGGGGGGAACCTAAGTTTTCAGACTGAGGGTTGGGGACTGAATTAAGAAGTGAACACTGCATGGCAGGGTCCAGGTTCCAATCAGATCAAGCCGTGGCACCACCCTATGATGGTAGGATCCAGTCAGATCATGCCCTCAACATCAGCTCATTGCAAGATCCAATCAGATCACATCTCATTACCCTATGCTTATAAAACCCTACCCAAACCCCAGGGCAGGAAGACAGATTTGAGGGCTTCCTTCTATCTCCCTGCCAGTGGATTTGCAATAAAGCTTTTCTTTTCTCAAAAGCCAGCACTATGACCTCTATGTGCATTGGGCAATGAGCCCATTGATTGCTTAGTAACACTGTCATCACTTGTTTTTTTATTTTTAATTATAGCTATTCAGATATGAAGCTGTATCTCATTGTGGTGTTTTGTTTTGTTTTGTTTTGTTTTGTTTTGAGACAGAGCCTCACTCCCTTGCAGAGGCTGGAGTAGTGGCACAATCTTGGCTCACTGCAACCTCCGCCTTGGCCTCCCAAAGTGCTGGGATTAGCACGAGCCACCGTGCCTGGCCTCATTGTGGTTTTGATGTGCATTTTCTTGATGGCTAACTATTTTCAGCATTTTCATGTGCTTACTGGCTATTTGTTTAGCTTATGCAGAGAAATGTCTGTTCCCTGTGATCTATTTACTATAAATAAAATAACATGTTTCATGATTTCACCATTTCTCTGGTAAGTAAATGGATAATCAGATAACAGTGTCCCTAAAATATGAAAGGAATTATTTATTTTATGACTTAATAACTGGACAGAAATTGGAGGAGTCAAGTTGCAGAGGTAGAAGAGAGAGTTTTCAATGATATTCTTTAACCCTTTTGGAACAGGTAGGTAATCATTTTCATGGTTTACAGCTCTGAAGACATTGGTTGAATCTGAAGGGAATTGAGAGTGCTTTTCCAAAGATGGCACTGTTATAGTAAAGAGCTCAATCTCTGCCTGTGTTCAAATTCTGGCTCTAGCACATACTAACCATGTGACTCATTTCTACACCTCACTTTCAAATCTGTACACTGGACAAACTACCTCCAAGGGTAGTTAGGAGGACTGTTTGATAAAGCACTTGTACCATGCTTACATATAATAAGTTCTTGATATGTGATATGTGCCAGTTATTATTATTCCTTAAAAAACAACCAACCAACCAAACAAACAAAAAAACCCATGGGCATGGAAACTCTAGGAGCCACATGAAACATGAGCTAGCACTGGTTGCTTCTCCAGGCATTGAGAAAGAGAGGGTTAGAAGATGGAGGAAACGAGATCAGCTATGAGGACTTCTACTTCAGAAGAGGAAAGAGACACTCCAAGGAAGATTTGTTACCAGAGAAGGAGGCATTTTAAATTAGAGAGGTCTGGGCTGTGTTTTGGAGCCGACTGTAAGATCTGGGCAGAGGAAGAAAAATGCCACTTTTTTCCTGTACCACTTTCCTCGTATTTCTTTATTTAGCAAAGCTATATTTTGTACGAGAAGAAATCTAATACAAAGTTGACAATGGTGAAGGCAATCTTATGTGGAAAAACCCTCTAACAGCTGACTCTGTTTGACCCAAGAAGTTTCAAGCTCCTGAAATCCTGTTTTAGAAAAACCAATAGAAATGGTATCAGGATTTTATCTGGTTTGAGCTTTTATGGCTTGTATATTTCTATTTCCTATAGATTTATCCAGTACAATAGAGGACAGATTATCCAAAAAATGTGCTTTCTTTATCTAAGACAAACTTTAATAACCCAATAGAAAAGTTTGAGGAACTATTTGCACTATTTGTTAAAATGTTATATATATAGCGCACATATATCTTCAATGTTTGTTTTATGAATGAAGTGAAAGGACTTTTGAAAGCTCTTTCTTCCTGGTTTCAAAGGTGGTACACAACATGTTATAATATCAATTAAACATTTCAGAATAAATGCATCAAAATGTTATGATTTAATTAATCCTCATCTACTATCTTTGTGTTTTACCTATAAATAGTATTTCTGAGCCTTACTTAAAGAAAATAGTCCTACAAAATTATATGTATTAAAAAAAGATTTTATGAAAAACTACCAGCTCAAGTGAAGTGTATTAAAATGACATAAATCCTATAATTATGCATATTTTACCATTACTTGGGAACTACCACATTCTGAGTTACATCAAAATCCAATGTTAGAGATATAAGAGAGAAATCTGAGGGGTTTTTTTAAGGAGCATCTAATGAGTATATTCTTTAACATTCACTTGGTTAATTTAGCAAATACTTTTTGGGTTCTATAAGTAGATTTATGTAGAAATAGTCATGTTTTGAATAATATTTACTTCTGACTACTGTATTTCTCCTCAAATTTTTACTTCTGAAAAATAGAAGCAAAGAGGGTAAATTTCCAGTTTGTGAACCTGCCACTACATCATTGATTTAAATTTAATATTCTATATAAAATTTAATATTCTGTATTTGTGTTTCTGGTTTGGCAGCCACTATCTACATAAAGCTATTGAGAACTTAGCCTGTCACTAATGAAATTGAATAGATACATTTTAAAATTTACTCAAATTTAATTAATTCATTGCAACAGCTCCCAGATTGACTAGCACAGATAAAAAGGACACAAGTTATCTTATGACTAGATAACATTTTGGGTAATGGTTCAAAACCATAAATGGATCAACTAACTAATGTCATCACTGATTTGTAGCATTAATATTATTAAAACAGGTAGTCAACTGGTAGTACGTGTGTACTTGTATAAATGAATGCACCTCGTTTTTAATAGATCCTTACATAATAAGAAGTGCTCAGAAAACAAGAAATAAAAGCACAACTAGCTCATTTTACTCATCTTTCTTTTAGCCAACATTTGTCTAATGCCACCATGTTACAAGCAATGAGGATTCAGCAAAACCAGAACGGATCCTGCTCCCACTGATTTTTGTATTTATTCAATATCTACTTTGTCCCAGTTCCTCTGAGCATATGCTTTGTTCTGAAGAAGGCTAGACCGTCTAGAAAGACTTAGTCCCCAAATTAAAGGAAAGTACAGAGTACTGTAGCACCATAGTACTATAGGAACACAATTAAAGAGAATCTGAATTCATAAGTCATCATGGAAGTTTTCTTGAAACAGAACCGAGTTTTGAAAATTGAGAGTAGTTAGTGAGAGCTAGACAGAGGACTTGTATGAGACAAGATGTTGGAATAAACTAGCATGCTGCTATTGTTATCAGAAGGCAGGCCTTGAGTGTGAATTGTCCAGATCCTTGGGGTTTTGAAAAAATAATTGGACAAAATGCACAAAGTAACAGAGGAATGAAACCCAGGAACAAAGAAGCGAAAGCAAGGATTTATTAAAGCAAGAAAGCACCCCACAGGGCGGGAGTGGGCCCGAGCAAGGGGCTCAAGGGCCTCCTTTACAAAGATTTTGGGGTTTAAGTATTCTTTTTTTTTTTTATTATACTTTAAGTTTTAGGGTACATGTGCACATTGTGCAGGTTAGTTACATATGTATACATTAAGTATTCTTTTGAGGTTCTTATCAGCTACCTTTTATCCGGATGAAGGATTTGGCTCGTGGCTAATTAAAGGCTGAGGTGAATTGGCCTGCGGCTAACCCAATACTAGAGCAGATTGACACCATATGCAGATGAAGTGGTGGCCCGTGTGTGGCCTGTGGCCACTCCAAGGCACTTTCCTTTTCCATCTGAGATGTGGTGGAAGGGGGAGGTTGTAGGTAGAGTAGCCTTTGATCCTTTGTTTCTTGGGTGTGGGGAGGTGGGGTTTTTCATTTTGGTTTAGCTTTAGGAAGTTCCCGTTAATTGGCCTTAAGTTATATCACACTCTGGGGACTGTGGTGGGGTCGGGGGAGGGGGGAGGGATAGCATTGGGAGATATACCTAATGCTAGATGACACGTTAGTGGGTGCAGCGCATCAGCATGGCACATGAATACATATGTAACTAACCTGCACAATGTGCACATGTACCCTAAAACTTAGAGTATAATAAAAAAAAAAACATTAAAAAAAAAAAAAAAAGTTCCCTGCCCCCAGACCCTATTCTCCTGCCTCACTATCACAGAACTATGTAAATGGTTTGGTGATGTGGGGAATATAAAGGAGTACTAGGAGATAAGGCAAGACCTAGTTCCCCAGTGTCTCCAGAGATAAGCTAAGGAGTTTGATCTTTATGCTGAAAGTTATAGGAAGTAACTTAAGAGTTTTAGAAAGCGAAATGAAAAGTTCAGATTTCTCCAAAGGAGAGCAATTATTAAGAAAAATCACAAGAATCTAGGTGGAAAATATTTCTGTGGCTCTAAGTAACTCACAAAGGATCCCATCTCTTCACAGAATCTAAATTTTTCTGAGTGAAACATTCAGCAACTCCAGCCATCAATAACTCAGTCAAAAGCCAATAAAAGAAAGAAAAAGAAAGAAAGAAAGAGGAAAACAGAGAGAAAAAAGCAATAGGTTACTTCTTAGGAACCCTGAGTGTAAAACAGGTCCTTTTGCGAGACTACTGACTCAGAATTGAATGAAAAATAATGTTTCTGACTTAGCAACATAGATTTTCAGCACATGGACAGCTGCAAGAGGACATTTGTAGGAATAAGAAACAACAGTTAAAAATAAGGGAGGAATAACATCTAAATGTCAGAGACCTTGTCTTCCTTCTTGTATTTCTAAATATCTAGCCTAATACCTGGCATGGTACTAGGTGATCAATAAATATTCATTAAAATTTATAAATATCTATAAATGAATGAATCCTAAAAATCATACAGATGAATTAGGAGACCACTCAGATTAATAATGCACTGCAGTAGTCCCCAAAGACATCAGTGTATTATATCCCAAGATAATAACTGATGTTCACCCTGAAGCCCCTGGGGTAGTTTGTGTGGAACATCCAGCCACTGTTTCAGACTTGACTCTACCAGACACACTCGTCTCTGCCTTTTCTTGAGCTCCAGGGATCATGTGTTTGCAGCTTGAACCAGCTGCCTCCAAATAAGACATTTAACTATGGCACACACTGTTTTCTGGTTAATGTAAAATACAGAAATAAAAATTACAAACCCATTTTCTTAAGTTATGCCACCTTTTCAATCCTATTAAACAATCCAACAATGCAATCTAATAACCCTTTATCATATAGAGCAAAGATAATCCAAACACCACCAGGCTCTATTTAGAATCATTCCGATGCTGACTGCATATTAGAATTTCCTGTAAACTTATCAAAAACAAGGATTCCTGGGCTCCATCCCCAGGGATTCAGACTTAAGTAGATCTAGGGTGGTGGTGTATGCTAAGAATTTTTATTTTTATTCAATTTATTATTTAAAAAATCCCAATCCCAACTATGCTTGAACATTAGAAATATGTAAATTCCCAGAATGCATTCTATTTGCTCAGATAGGAGGTAAAATCTACATATAATCTACTTGTTCTGTTCAGAAGCCTACCCAGACCCTCCCAATCAATGGCTTCCCTTGCTTGTTGCTTGTAGGGAGCCCCAGCGTGTCAAGAATAGCTTGTGGAGCTAGCTGCATAGGTGTTGCCCTTTATATTTGTTAATGATTGTTTCTAAGCTAAACTTTGAGATAATGCTGGGAAAGCATGACCTCTTTCTCCCTGAATCCACTCAGCTCTTCATTTTCTAATTAATGGCTTATCAAGTGGCTAAATGTGCCAACAATGAGAACAAAAGACTGATCTTTAATTCTCTTTTTTTCTCCTTTACTCAACTCACAAGGAAGAATATAACATTTGTCTTGACCCTATGCTGCAAATAATAAAAAAACCTCTCATATCCAAGAGGTTGACCATGAAACCAAAATATGGGATCTTCCATGTCCCTATCTCACCTATGCTCCTGCCCAATTCCCTCTCCTTCTGATGCGCAAACCAGGGATTTGTTAAAGATGCACTTAACATACACAAAAACCTTGAGGTCATTTTTCCAAACTGTCCCCAAAACCTAGTGCCTCTCTGAGCACAAATGGGGGATGAGACCCTGGGTTCTGCTTTAGTGGCTGGCATTATCTTTGGACATTGTGGCAACTGACTCTAATCATAGCTAGAAGCTGGGAGAATTACAGACAGTGCTTTATGAGTCTTTGTTACTTGTTTAGACACTGGCGAGTGTATTTATTAAGGGTGCAGAATTCTTACTGTTCTGTTGTGGCAGACCTGCCCCATTCTGAACCAGATATTCCTGAAAAAGCACATTATAACTTCTTTAAAACAACACCAACACTGACAATAGAAATCCCAAACTTTGCACACTTTGCATTTGTAAAATAGGGACAGCTGAATTATGCATTCTGTCTCAAGTCACTTCCACTTTAAAATGCAAAAAATAAAAATGCATTAAGAGGTATAACAAACAAGAGTGTGTGCATTATTGAATACAAGAAAGGTACAAAAGTGTCCATAACAATACAGCAAGTCACATGTCCATCAATAGTAGAGTGGGTTTTATGGTATATGCATACAATGGAATACTAGACAACAATAAAAATGAAAGAAATACAATCACATGCAACAATATTGGTATATCACAAGCATAACATTGAGCCAATGACATCACACATTAAAAAAGGCATTGTATAATTCCATCCCAGAAATAGGACAACTTCATCTGAAATGTAAGAAGTCAGGACAGTGGCTACTTCTGAGAAAAAAGGAAGGGGTAATTATTGGGAGGGCACATACAGGGGGCTTTAGGGGCTTGAAATGGGTGGGACTTACACTGGTATGTTCATTTGGTGATATTTAATTGAGCTGTACACTTATGATTTGTGTAGTTTTCATCATGTCATATTTTAATAAAAAGTGTAAAACTGCTTTGAAGCTCATTTCTTTCAGGATGATCATTTAATTACATTAGCCTTGAATCAATGCCAGGAGATAAGCAAAAAAAGAATAGACAACTGAGATTAATGAGACACCCGCTATTACTTTAAAATAAGTGTTGTCACATAAATCTCCACAGCAAATGGTTTCTGGCTTATTTGTGACCATGGAAAACAACACAACAATGTGAAGCAGAAAACAAATAAATAAATCAGTATTTCAAAATTTAGCAGACTTTTATTTTCACAGATAACTTGTTATACAGGGAAATGGAGGTACAACTGTCTTCAAAATAAAAGAATGCTGCTGATTGGTTCTTCACTTCCTTTGCTTCTCCTACATACTTTTTGATCATTCTTTGCTCAGGTTAACAGTGGGAGGAAAATGATGAATTGAAATACTATTTTTTTTTTTTTTTTTGTGCATTGGTGACTTTTTGAAACTCTGAGTAATATATAATGGTTTAAATGAGGTCTTAACATGCTCATAAATTTTAGATGAAGGATTGTTTGGTTTCTTTGTTTGGCCTGAACCAATGCTTTCCAGCAGAACTTTCTGTGAGGATGGAAATATTCCTCTGTGATGATGATCACTAGCCACATGGGCTCCTGAGTGCTTGAAATGTGGTGAGCGTAACTGAAGACATACATTTTTACTTTAATATAATTTTAATTAATTTGAATATAAATTCAAATGACCCACATGTGTCTGGTTGCTACTCTATTGCTCTACTGAACAATGCAAGTCTTTTTGCTTTTCTTTTTTTTTTTGTTTTAATAGAAATAAGTCTCACTATTTTGCCCAGGCTGGTCCCAAACTCCTGGCTGTAAGTGATTCTCCTGTTTTGGCCTCTCAAAATGCTAGGATTACTAGCACTGACAGTGCAAGTCTTGATGACAATCTGGTCCCACCTTCTTTCATAAGGGCCCACGACCCTCCCTGAAATGATGACAGGCTGGTGAAATGGGTGGAGTCCAACAAGGCTTGACTGGGAGGATTTCAGAGAAGATGAAGAAGGCAAGTGTAGTTTATTGGCTTCCACAGTTATCAGAAGGAGATGAATTTCTCTGGAAATTTTGTTCAAGAACTATAGAATCTTAAAGTCTTTAGGAATATTACATGGGGCCCCAGGAAAAACAACTTTAAAATTTTTAAATGTATCCAAATTAGCAAAATTAGCAAACTTTAAATACTTATATTAAAACAATTCGAAGGGGAGGACAAAAATCAGTGGAGCAGCTGACTGGAAACACTTTGGGTAGATAAGTAACTAGACATCTTTTGGTTTTAACTTAGTAAATGCTTTTGAGTAAGTACTTACTAATGCTCTAGTCTTGAGGCCATACCATGTAGAACTTTGACAACTCGGTGTCTCAAATACCCTGAAAGGGAATCTTATTTTTTAGACTTAATGGTGTTTAAACTTTTCCCTTGATGGATGATGTCTTGACTTGATAAAAATTGCAATTTTATATCCTTTTGTTATTTGCAGAATCAGTCTTTCTCAACAAGGTCAGCAAGACATGATACAGTACACTCATATTTGTGTACACACATTCCTGCTGTGCCAGTATAAGTATGCTAGTGTATCAACTCAAAAGCATTTTTTGGTCATTTCCCAAATAGTTTAGGACATAGTGGTCATAATAAAACAGTCACCTTTTGAACCACTTTTATGATTTCTGGGTCAGTGTTATATTTCATATGCTATCTAATAGTAAGACTGATGTACCAACTGTGTTTGAAGGATTACAGCTATAAAGTAACCAGGAGAGTTTCTTGTAAAAATTTTTCCCTCACTGAAAACCATTCAGTCTTCTCTTCATAAAGCAGAAATATATTAGTAGTTCCATCTTTAGATACCTACGTAACATTTGCTTCATACCCAAAAAAGTTTGAATAAACATAAAGCCAGCCTTGGAGTAGTTAAAATCCTGCTTCTTTAATGCTAAGATCCCTTCCCTCCTCCATATCCTCTTTTTTAACTCGCATATTAATATTTATGCATTCAAGATGTATCTTAGAATCAACCTGGAGAATAAACTTGCCAGACTCCAAGTATAGGAAACAGTATTGACAAAATTACTATTGTTCAACCCCACTAATTATATTTTAGCTATGCTAGAACGTCTCGGGTTCATCCAAATTGTCACCTCGATTTAATTCCCTCCATTGGTAGCAGTACATTGAGTTGAAATCTAACTTACATTCGAACTCCTAATTTTTAAATTGTCTTTAAGACCACACTGTTGAGCAGTTTTGAGATGTAAAGTTATTCTTTATTCAAAATACTGCTTGTGATTCACCACACAATGTAATTAAAAGCAATAGAATCTGCCAAATTTCTTGTTTATGAAATGATAATTTTTTCATATCATAAGAAATTTAATACGATATGAAAATTTGAAGTTAAAAAAGAAGTAGGTATAACTGATTTATACATCCTGATGAAACCCCAGTCCTATGCCAAACACCTGTCAAAAACTTCCAGTTCACTCACATAGACACAGGGAGGGGAACATCACACACCAGGGCCTGTTGGGGGATTGGGGGCTAGGGGAGGGATAGCATTAGGAGAAATACCTAATGTACATGACAGGTTGATGGGTGCATGATGGGGGCAAACCACCATGGCACATGTATATTTATGGAACAAACCTGCACATTCTGCACATGTACCCCAGAACTTAAAGTATAATAAAAAAACAAAAACCAAAAAACTTCCAGTTCACTTTTAAGATAGGCCATTTAAATTCTAGCCTTGCATAATTTAATCAAAGGAAGAAATGAAATTACAGGTTGAACTAAGTAGAAAGAGACAAAAGTCTCTTGGTATTCTCCAATATGCCCCTCTGCATTCTAATCAATACTTAGGGTACTACATGGTCACTAGCACAGTCTAGGTTATTAAAAGTAGGTGAACTCCAATTGTGACACTATCCAAAGGGGGAAAAATTCCCTGAGATTGTGTGTGATCAATACAAGATTATATTCACATTAAAAAAGCAGCATATCACAGGAATGAGATAAATAGCTGCTTATGGCTAAAAATATATTAAAGCAAATCATTAGACTTCAGATGTTAAAAAGTCTATTCTCAAATCTCGATCATGATAATATACATTAAAGTGATATAAATTGAATAAATACAGGTGGATTTATATTTCTGATGGATTATGCTTACTGAAAGATACAATATCCCACATGCATTCAATAAATAAGATATTCTTTAAAAACACAGTGGGGTCACAAGATGAGAAATGAAAATTACAGTGGTCCAGAGAACTGTAAGTCATATCACATCATTCCTCAGATTTTATCACTTAGTGTAAAATAAAAATACTTCACAGTGGTTCACAAGATCCTTCATGATTTTCCCCTTACTGAAACTCCTCACTACCACACTCCCCATCTTTCTGACTTTATCTCCAATTTCCTCATTGCTCTTCAAACAGCTCCCATCTCAGTGATTTCTACTTGTGTCTATTCCATCCAGATATCCACCTAAGTACTCCCTCACTTTCACTGGTCTCTGATCAAAGAACATCTTATCATGTTGGCCTTTCCCGGCTACTCTTCATAAAATATAATTATTCTTTATTTTCTCTTTTCACTTAATTTTTCTTCTTAGCACTTGTCACCACCTTTCATATTTTATTTGTTGGCATTACCACAAACAGAATGGGAGCCAGGCAGAGTGGAGACTCTGCTCTGTTTTTTAGTGCCAGGCACCTAGCAAGTTGTCAGTACACATTTATTAAACAAAAGAATGAATAAAACTAGAGTAGTAAACATGGACTGACCTTGGGATGGCTCTGGAGGTTTTTTACAGTACAAGAACCAGTCCAGGTCTTGAGTTTTAATAGACACATGGTGAATGAAAGACAGAACCTTGGGTCTCTGCTAGCTAGAAGATACAACTGAGATCCTTGAACAAATCATGTGCCTATGAAAGTTTACACTTCAGTGTAAAGGTGAAACAGGAAAACTTATAAGATCATCAAGGAAACCAACACAAGAATTGGCTGGCTTCGTCTTGACTCAGGGTATAAAATTAAATGTGAAAGCCCTCTTAAAAATTGACAACTTAGTCAAATTGGTTAGTTGTTTTAATTTTTACTACCTGTGTGAATCTGAATAACTCAAGTGAAGATATCTCAGTGGTGGCCTGGGTCATGTAAACATGTATTTTCTCTTTAGGAAGACATGTAACATCCAGGTCAATTGTGATTTCACAAATTAAATTCAATCAAATATGATCCCACATGAAGGAGTCAGAAAAATCAAATAGCAAAATTAAATACCAAGGACTTCAGACCCATAAGATACAGACTATAAAATAGCAATGTTTATGATGTTTATAAAAATAAAACAAGAAAGGCAAAACATAAAGAAAAACTATAAATATTAAAAAATGGTCAGAAATATCAGAAAGAAATGTAAAAAAGAAATTCTAGAAATAAAAAGTATAATCACAAAAATTATAAAAAATGAATTAAAAAGCAGATTAGACAGGAAGAAAGAGAGAATTAGTAAACTTGAAGACAGAGTGAAGAAATTATCCAGAATAAAATACAGAGTTAAGGAGATATACAATATAGCAAGAACTTAGGAGACATGGAAGATTAAGGGTAAGAAGGTCTAAAATACATTAAATTGGTGTTCCAAGAAGAGAGCATTAAGAGACTAAAGGTAGACACTATTCAAATAGCTAAAGGCTAAGAGCTTCTAAATTGATAAGAAATAGGTAAAAAAAAAATCTCAAATGAGATCAACATAAAGAAATCCACATGTAAAAATATATATCATAGTAGAACCACAGAAAATCAAAGATAAATAGATAGTTTACAAAAAGGCACAACACTGTACTGGGTTAAATTGTGTTCCCTTAAAATTTATGTCCTTCCTCAGAATGTGACTGTATTTGGAAATAGGATCTTTGCAGATATAATTAGTTAAATCAAGAAAAGGTCATACTGGAGTAGAGCTGGCCGTAAATTCACTATCACCAGTATTCTTATAAAAGAGAAGAAGATGGGAGGCCGAGGCAGGCAAATCACAAGGTCAGGAGATCAAGACCATCCTGGCTAACACAGTGAAACCCCGTCCCTACAAAAAATACAAAAAATTAGCTGGGCATGGTGGCAGGTGCATGTAATCCCAGCTGCTCAGGAGGCTGAGGCAGGAGAATTGTTTGAACCCGGGAGGTGGAGGTTGCAGTGAGCTGAAATCGTGCCACTGCACTCCAGCCTGGGTGACAGAGTGAGACTCCATCTCAAAAAAAAAAAAAAGAGAGAGAGAGAGAGAGAAGAAGAGGCACTGAGACAGAAATATACAGAAGGCAGACAACAGTGTGAATGTAGAGGCAGATACCGAAGTGATGCATCTACAAGCCAAGAAAGGTAAAGGATTGCTGGCAAAAAGAAACTAGGACAGAGTCATGGAATAGATCTTCCTTTAGAGATTACAGAGGGATCATGGCCCTGCCAACATTTTGATCTTGAACTTCTAGCCTTCAGAACTGTGAGAATACATTTCTGTCATTTTAAGCCACCCAGTTTGTGGTAACTAGTTATGGCAATTCTATGAAACTAATACCTGTAAAGGAACTGCAGTTATATTGCCATCTAACAGTAAATGTGAAAGCCAGACAGTGTCATCTTTCACATGCTAACTGAAAATAGCTATTGACTTAGAATTTTGTTCCTGACTTTCTTACTTAAGAAAGATCTTACTTAAGAAGATCATAAAGCAGAATTTAGCATGATCAGATTCTCATTGATTAAACTTCTAAAAATATACTTTAGAAAGCACATGAATTATCCCATAAAAAAATCTCTAAAATATAAGATAAAATGGTGACAAAATAAATAGGTAAAAATACAGGAAATCTAAGCAAACATTGCATAGAACAACAAAAATGACACTGCCCAATTTGGAAGTAAAAAAAATAGAGCAAAATATTAGTCTACAACATTATTAAGAGATTAGAGGAAATGATCAGAGCTTAGTTATTCAGTATTATTCAGGAGTAGGATAAAAATACTGATTAAGTTGTACTTTTGTTGTTGATTTAAAAGTGTATCTTGCATTTTTATTTATTTATTTATTTATTTATTTATTTATTTATTTATTTATTTTTTTTTGAGACGGAGTCTCGCTCTGTCGCCCAGGCTGGAGTGCAGTGGCGGGATCTCGGCTCACTGCAAGCTCTGCCTCCCGGGTTCACGCCATTCTCCTGCCTCAGCCTCCCAAGTAGCTGGGACTACAGGCGCCCGCCACTACGCCCGGCTAATTTTTTGTATTTTTAGTAGAGACGGGGTTTCACCGTTTTAGCCGGGATGGTCTCGATCTCCTGACCTCGTGATCTGCCCGCCTCGGCCTCCCAAAGTGCTGGGATTACAGGCGTGAGCCACCGCGCCCGGCCTTATCTTGCATTTTTAAATGTTAACTGAAGAGAAGAAACAGAAGGAAAAAAAAATAAAGAAAAATAATGAAATATAAATAATAAAAATAGAAATAAAATGAACATAATTAGAGAAAAAGCAAGGTCAATATAAAGCTGAAAATAATGCTGTACGTATACTTCAACATAACAGTTCTAAGAAAAATTACCATATTGAAATTAAAAATATACTATGGGCTGTTTCAAGTGGTAAATTTGGATAAAAAATATAGGCCAACCAAGTAATATATAGATATGTTAATATCAGAAAATATAGGCTTGGAAACAAACAAACAAAAATAACAGAGATGGAGAGTTACTTCATAATTATGAAAGGAGCAATTAACAAATAAGATATAGCAAGTTTAAACTCATTCACATCAACTAATACAGCCTTAAAATATGTACAGCTAAAAACAAAGAATCATAGGCAAATATAAGCATATTTATCATAAAGCCATAATTTTTATTATTTCCCCCCTCTGAAATTGATAGATCAAGTAAGGAAAATATGTATAAGATATAAAAACTTAGCATAATTAATCAGCTTCGTTGAAGGGGCATATGTACAATACTGACCAGAAATTAAGAATACCTACTCTTTTAAAGCATGCATGGAACATTTATGGTAACTAGTCAGATTCTAGGCTGTAAATCAAGTCTCAATGAATTATTTTTTTAAAAAAGGTATCAACCATATTCTGTGACCACGACTTAAGTAGAAGTAAGTAACAAAAGTTAACTGGGGGCAAAATAGATATTGGGAAAACTAATTATATAACCCTGGGATCAATTTACTGAGATTTTAACTGAAGAAATTAAAAACAGATCAATTGGATGCTTATTGTTAGTTAGCAATTTCAAAGTACACAGTAACAGTGCTAATTAACTGTTAATTTTCCTCCTAAAATGTGTTATTCAGTCCATATTATGTGCTATGAGCTGAATTGTGCCCACTCCCTTCCCCTCTCCAAATTCATATGTTGAAGCCTTAACCACCTGTGTGACTGTATTGGAGATACAGCCTTTAAGGAAAGGATAAGGTTAAATTAGGTCATTAGAATGGAGCTCTGATCCATTAGCGCTGGTGTCCTTATAAGAAGAAAGAGACATCAGATCTCCCTTTTCACCATAGGAAGACACAGCAGCTTGCAAGCCAGTAAGAGTGCCCTCACCGGAACCCAACTATGCTGGCGCCCTGATCTCAGACTTCCAGCCCTCAGAACTATAGGAAAATAAATGGCTGTTGTTTAAGTCGCCCAGTCTATGATATTTTGTTAAAGCAGCTGAAGATGATGAATACACAATAAGATAATATTTAGGCATTTAACTTTGGCAGCAGGAGAAGAGTATGTAGAACACAATTACAGTTTTATTTTAAAAAATTGGGATGGCGAATTAGCGTGAACAGCTCAGATTAAATAAATATATATACATATACATTAGGTATAACATGAAAGTAATATCTCCTGATATAAAATATTATTTTGAGGATAAATGAAATGATGTACATGTAAGCACTTCCGTCTAAAGCTACCTTCAGTTATTTTAGAAACAATAAAATTTAAAGAAATAAATACAACTAATAGACTTTTAGATGTATTGAGATGCTTTCTGAATTGAGATGCACAATAATAGGTCAGGATCATTTGAGGAGATGGGCTTTGTAATTCTTTTTGCAGTTACTCTAAAACTCATATATTTTTTTTTTCTAAAACACAAAACAGTCCTAATTTTGAATAGAATTGTAAAGATTCATACCAGTTACAAAAATGATGGCTCTAATGATTTCTTAAGGTCTTAACTATGAACCAGCTGTGTCCATCACATGTATTTTCATGTTTAACCCTCACCACATCACCATAGGGTACATATTACTTGTTCTGCAGTTGGAAAAAAAGGGCTAGCCACAGTGGTGGGCAGATCACTTGAGCCCAGAAGTTAAGGGCTGCAGTAAGCTATGATAGAACCAGTGCCTTCCAGCCTGGGCAACAGAACAAGACCCTGTCTCAAAACAAAACAAAACAAATTGTTTGAGCAAATTATGAAATCTGAGTTTTGCTTATAATTTCTATGGAGTCAAAATTCTTCCACACTCACAAAAAATTTACCAAGTCCTAAACTCCAACAAGTGGTACAAAATCTGGCAGAGGCTAACCCTTATCACTATACGTGGTTTTCAATTCAGCTCTGAGTCAGAAGACAGAATGCCAATTTAGACTCATTAACCTTCCTGACATACTTCCTGCAGCTGAGCATAAATAAATTTGACTCTGAGTTGAAATTTCTTGTGCCAGATTCTCAGCTCCAGCTCACTAACTGTAGGCACAATGTTCTTCTCTCCCAATAGTTACAAGCAAGAAAATGGCAGCAGATTTGAAATTTAAATGACCCCAGGCAATGTGTTGACCTAAATTTTATGTCAGTGATTTAAGAGGCATTCAATGGCTTTAGGCAGGAAAAAAAAAAGAGCTGGAAAATTCTCCCCATGAATAATCTCAACCAACTTCAGGGCCAGATTTTGTCTTCAGGTCTCTGCACATAACTCAGTAATGTTTTCATCTTGGGGAAATCAACAGGACCTTTGCACTGTGAACACAATATAGAGCTCAAAATAGTCAGAGCTTAGGAAAAGACAAATGATGCCTGAGCCTGGAATCTTTGAAAGATTTAGTAGACAGAAAACAATACTTTGAAGACATACAGAAGAGACAAATAAATCTTAATAAATTTGAGCAGTATAGAAATATAAATAACACATGGACAAGACTAGATGAATAAGATTAATACCCAGAAGGACTTCTACGATGCTCACTCAGTAGGAGTGTTTATAGTCCCCGGAACCCTTTAAAAAAAATGTGAGCTTTAAAAATATGGTTTGTATAATGTTGAAATGTCACCTCTTATTTTTTCCTCAGTAAGAGTGTTCCCTATATCTAATTCAGCCATATAATCCTAAGTCATCATTATTTAACACTATTACAATTGACAACAGCAAGTTAAAAACCCAGTTAGCTTGAATAAAGCATTCTCAATTCTAAATAACAGAAGGAAGGCTGTACGTATCTAAAAATAGTGTTTTTATGTTATTCTACTTTGGTATCATTTTTTAAAAGGAACTATATACTAGACAATATATTTGACATGTAGAAGACATTCTTTCATAGATATTCACAAGAAAAACATGCTTTATTTCAAAACAATTGGCTTTCTTTCATTCTTGAAAAATAAAAAGTATCAATAGGTATATTGTAAATAATATTGAGATATTGCTTTTGGCAGTACATTTATATATAATTAACAATATTTTGGAGTCTTTAGTTATTAGATATTATTTTTGTCAATAATAGAAATAAATGTTTATGGCAGCACTTTGGGACGGTGAGGCAGGTGGATCACTTGAGCCCAGGAGTTCGAGACCAGCCTGGCCAACCAACATGGTGAAACCACGTCTCTACTAAAAATACAAAAAAAATTAGCCAGGCTTAGTGGTAGGCACCTGTAATCCCAGCTACTCAGGAGGCTGAGGCGGGAAAATCACTTGAACCTTGAATGTGGAGGATGCAGTGAGCTGAGATTGAACCACTGCACTCCAGCCTGGGTGACAAAGAGAGACTCCATCTCAAAAAAATAAAAAAGAATAAATAAATAAATAAATAAACTTTTACAAGAGTTCTACTGAACACATTTAACAATTGCTTTTAAAGATTTAGCCAAGGAACCATGAACCTTGTGCCTGATGAAATAATTAAGCAACAGCTGCATCTACCATGTGGGTGGATTTATGATATGAAGTATTGTTCTGGCAAAGCTCAGAACTAGCAGATATTTCACTTCAAGGGTAAGTAGCATTTATGGTATATTATTATACTGCTGTACTTCTTTGAGGGGAATAGAAGGTGGTCTGTCCCAAAAGATGCTATGGAGTAAATTAAGCATAATGGAATAAGGAAAAGGCCACTTGTTTACATCAAACTTGTGTCACAAGGATTCACTCACTTTTAGTTCTCAAACCACTAGAGAATCTTACAAAGGAATCATTCCAATTTAATTCCCAGCCAGTGTCATCTGCTCCTTATGTAAGTTTGCTTATATTCTTTCATGTGTCAAAAACCATCAAGGGGCCAACTTAGTGTCGGGCTTGTGGTTGGAGAGGCAGCCAAAGATATACTTGATTTCTATTGACATCTACATTTTAGCAGCAGAGATTGTGCCCTAGCAATGCTTGTCAGAATAAAGGGGAGCTAGGGCTGGAGTCACAGGACACATAATACGGATGTCACCACATTTCTTCCATGTAGAATGAAATCTTCCTGTTATATGGTACATACAAACATAAGGTTTCATTTGTCAACACCTTGATTTCCATTAATTTCTCTAAGGCTATTGATCATTTAAAGCTCATTTACATTTCTTTTTTAATAATAAATGTGTTGCTAAAATCACAGTTTCCCAGGACATTGCTTTCCCTTGTGTTGTTTCACACACACAAACACACAAACACACACACACACACACATATTCATAAATACCTCTAGCTCTCTCTACCTCTATTTAGCAATCAACCTATAATTTTTTTTCTCTTCTACCAAAATAAAAATCCGTTGAGGTCGATGACAATATCTCTTATATCTTAATATTCTCCTTAGACTTGAGATTAGTATAATTTCTTTTACAGAGCAGCATACATTTTAAAAAATGAAGGAAGAAGGAGATCAAGAAATAGAAGGAGGGATGAGTAGAAAGACAAAAAAAAAATAAAAATAAAAACTGTTGAAACAACATTTCAAAAACCACAAAATTCAGTTGTTAATCTCTTTTTCCTTCATATCCTGACCATAAACATGTTGTCTTAAAATGTACAATTAGGTACAAAATAGAATCTTGGCTTACAAAAGAGAAAAGGGATTGACACAATACATTTGTCTTAAATAAAATGTTGACTATGGGTGGATAATAGTTTACTGATCATACGGTCTTAAAATCAAGATTCAGATAACTAGGCAAAATAATATGGCCATATATAATCAGTACAATGGCAACATAACTAAGACGGATTTTTGAAATTTTCAGTATTAATTATATTGAGCAAGGCAATGTAAAATTATTTTAGTGACACATAATGAAATCATTTCATACCGCAAATTAGGTACCCTCTTATTTTAATTTTTATCTGTCAAAATCAACTTTTGTTTCTTTATAATGTTTGCTTTAGAATTTTTCTCTGCAATTTAGATTTTTATTTGCTTAACTCATCTAATCATTACATGATACAAATTATTTATGCCCAGATAACGATTCAAGTTGTTACAATGTGAGTTTTGTGAGATTCTTTTTTTCAGTTAATAATGAAAAGTAAGAGATTTGTACTCAGAAGTGACAACAGACTTGAATAGCAGAACGTTTGTGAATAAAGTGGCTGATGAGATCTGGAGCACAATAATTTGCTGTTCCCAACCATGAGCAGCTTTTAAAAGTCCACAGGTCAGATGGCACTGTTGACATACTCTTATAACAATAATGAAGCTATCCCCAAGCCGTTGCTGATTAAATGTCCACTGACATCCTCTCAAAAGAAGATACTATTTTATTTTACCCTCCTAATTATATTTTGAATTAGGTACTATCTTCTTCATTTAAAAAAATGAGAACATTGATGTTCAGGAAGTTTTAAGTAATTGTAGAGTCAGGATTTAGATCAGATTGGTTTGGTTCCAATGCTCATCTTATTTTTCTTAACAAAGATGGAGTTTTGAGATCTTTCTGTACCAGAACCATTTTCAAAGAGGGTATCTTATTCGCCCTCAGTATCTGGACTGCTAAGATGGTAATGATTATACAAAACTCACAGGGTTGGACTAGCAACTCAACACAACAGCCATGAAAATGCTTTAAGCCCAGTGTTTGACAATAGACTAGATGCAAAATGAGAGTGCATTTATTTCTAAGAGACTTATGTTCTTGAGTATTTCAAGTGGGTAGTAAGTGATAAGCTGTCCATGTTAGGACAGTGTCATAAGAAAAGAGATTCCTGTGGAAGAACACAGATCCTTATTACTTTTTCTGAAGAAATGTATTTTTGTTTTGGAAATTTGGCTATGAAAATTAATTCATGAATTGATGGGCCAAACAACAGAAAGAAAAATGATTATTCTTCTTAAGAGTTGTATTATTTTAGGTTTTGCCACAATACTGATGATATTCTGTCAAATTATGTTTGTCAAATTGAATAAAATGAACTTCTTAGTGGTCCTGAAATTATTCTGGTTTAATTTCATAATTCACTTAAAGATAAATTTCTTCACTCAAGAAAATATAAATTGTATTCCAGCAAAATGAACCCACTGGGTAGCTTATCTCAAAAATATTAATAATAACACTTATCTCTATTTCAATTTACAAAATTTTAGGGAGATAAAACTAAAGAAAAACAAAACTCAACAAAATAATTTTTAAAGTAGAAATTAATAAAATTCAGTTTCTATCTTTTGTTTATTTTATTCAAAGAATCATAAATGTTAAATTTTGAAACCATTATTAAAATTTACAAATTAAAAATTTAATTTTCATCCCTGGAAATATTTTCAATGTTTCCTTGAAAAGTAGAAAAAATGATTCCTAATTAGAGATCTAATAATTCTCTCTAAGTTTCTGCAGTTTATTCCATTGCTATATCTAAGAAGAGAGAGACAATATCAAAAAGTCAGGTGTGTTTTTTTTTTTTTTTTTTTTTTGAGACAGGGTCTCACTGTTTCCCAGTGGCTTGATCATAGCTCACTGCAACCTCAAACTTCTGCGCTCAAGTGATCCTGTCACCTCAGCCTCCAGAGTAGGTAGGACTACAGGCATGTGCCACAACACTCAGCTAATTTTTTAGTTTTTTTTTTCTTTTTTTGTAGAGATGGGGTCTTGCTATGTTGTCCAAGCGGCTCTTAAACTACTGACCTGAAGCAAGACTCCTACTTTGAATCTGCAAAGTGCTGGGATTATAGTCATGAGTCACCACATCCAGCCAGAAAATTGTTTTCTAAACAGCTTTAAGGTTGATGTGAAATTGAATAGAAGGAATAAGCTATAAGATGAAAATCATATGTGAAACTGTATAGAACAGGAAACTGGCCTTGGTGAGTTCTTTTAGAGTTTCTCACACAGCCATGGCATCCACATCGTTGCTCAAGCTAAAAACATCTGCCTTGTTTTTGACTCTTTCTACATCTTCACTTTTCATATCAAAATCTGGCCAGTGTTGCCCAATCTGGCCCCATAATCTCTTTTATATTTATCTTCTCTTTCCCTTTCTCATTGCGGTTTTCTGGTTCTGTTTTCATCACTGGACACCGTTACAGTTTCTACTGTAAATTTTACCTGCTAAAATTCATTATTTAAAACCTAATTCTAATCATACCACTCCTTTGCTCCGAAACATTTGGTAGTTGCCTGAGTTCCATAGGTTAAAAGCCGAACTCGCTAGTAGAGCCTACTAAGTCTTTCACAAACTAGATCCAACATTCTAGTGCTACTCCTAACATTCCACCCAATACACTCCACACTTACTGCCCCAGTACACTATTCACTAACTCCATAAAAATCCTGAGTCTATACCTTTGAACTTGCTACCCTTTGTGATTCTCTTTCCCCATTTTCAGTCTTCAATCTTTTAAGGCTCAGTTAAAATATTCCCATCTCTGAAGTTTTTCTTAATCCTTCAGTAAGAATTCATGGCCTTCTCCATTTGCTCCTTTTATACTTTTCTCCTTAGTCTATGGTTGTACTTTTTATAATTGATCATATAATGGTTTTATGTATACAAACTTTCCCAAAAAGAAAGTGAGTTGGGAAACAGTCTTTTTCAGCTAAATTTCCCCAAGGACTAGTACAGTAACTGACACATAGTACAAATTCTACATATGTTTAATGACTAGAGTCTTGAACCACAATTCTAAGTCTTATACCATATGTTTTGTCAGACTACATAGCACATAATTTTGTGTGTGTGTTTATTGCTCAAAAAGGACAAAAGAAATATAGTATAAATGGTTTGAAGGATTACTTTTATCTTTTATCCTCAAGAAAAAGATACTCTAAAAATACAGAAGATAATTTCTACATAATTCATAATGACCAGTTTCTGTCTTTTTATGCCCTTATCCACACAATTAAATGCCTGATTAGATCAACTAGTATTAAATAATCAACTTCAATTTTTTAAAAGTATACTTTAGGTTCTAGGGTACATGTTAACAACGTGCAGGTTTGTTACATATGTATACATGTGCCATGTTGTTCTGCTGCACCCATTAACTCGTCATTTACATTAGGTATCTCTCCTAATGCTATCCCTCCCCTATTCCCCCACCCTATGACAGGCCCCAGTGTGTGATGTTCCCTGCTCTGTATCCAAGTGTTCTCATTGTTCAATTCCCACCTATGAGTGAGAAAATGTGGTGTCTGGCTTTCTGTCATTGCAATAGTTTGCTCAGAATGATGGTTTCCAGCTTCATCCATGTCCCTACAAAGGATGTGAACTCATCCTTTTATGACTGCATAGTATTCCATGGTGTATATGTGCCACATTTTCTTAATCCAGTCTGTCATTGATGGACATTTGGGTTGGTTCCAAGTCTCTGCTATTGTGAATAGTGCTGCAATAAACATATGTGTGCATGTGTCTTTATAGCAGCATGATTTATAATCCTTTGGGTATATACCCAGTAATGGGATCACTGAGTCAAATGGTATTTCTAGTTCTAGATCCTTGAGGAATTGCCACACTGTCTTCCACAATGGTTGAACTAGTTTAGACTCCCACCAACAGTGAAAAAGCGTTCCTATTTCTCCACATCCTTTCCAGCACCTGTTGTTTCCTGACTTTTTAATGATTGCCATTCTAACTGGTGTGAGATGGTATCTCATTGTGGTTTTGATTTGCATCTCTCTGATGACCAGTGATGATGAGCATTTTTTCATGTGTCTTTTGGCTGCATAAATGTCTTCTTTTGAGAAGTGTCTGTTCATATCCTTTGCCCACTTTTTGATGGGGTTGTTTTTTCTTGTAAATTTGTTTAAGTTCTTAACTCCAATGTATTAAAAAGGGGTAAAATAGGAATTTCATTAAAATAACTGGTTAATTTCATGAAAATAACCAAACACACTGGAAGCAATGGTTTTTGGATCAACTGTAAGTAGGGGAAATAACTGTTGTATTGTCATCCATTCATTCATCTTGCTATCCATCCTTGTGGTATTTATTGAGTGCCAATTATGTTCCAGATAGCATCTTGATAATGGAAATACAAAGTTGAATACCTAGTCTCCTATATCTAGGCTTTTCTTTATATATGGACTCACTCAGTTTGCTAAATCAACCAAGCACTTTTTGGAAAATCCATTCTAACAACAACAACAATAAAATCTCTGCTCACAGAATGAAATGGGCTCATTTGGATTCTAATATGTGATTTATGTTCCAATTTAAAACATTTATATTTCCTTGAATCCAAATAAAAATAGAGGACTATATTAACAGCAAAAGTGAATAAAACATTTGCAACAGTAATGAGATATGTTGTTATGATTAAATTAAGCTTTGCAATCACGGAAGTCACAAAGCATTTCAATAACTGCATGCAACCCTTTTTACCCACTGGCAGCCATAACATGCATCACCAAGCAGGGCCACAGGCATAAAGGTGTTCAATTAAGCAGCTTCAGAAGGATCATTTTTCATTTTCAGCTCTGAATCCACGTGAAAACTTTTTCAATAATAAATTTCAGAACTATTCCAAATGTATTCTGAAGTTACTGTGAATAATCAGAGTTATTATTTGAACTGGGTTACTGAGGTAGGGAAATGAGTATGAGAAGGAATGAGAAAGAGTCACTATAAGCTTTTCGTAATTAGGTTGAAAAATACTTGAAAATACTGCTAGGATGCTGTCCTATTTCCTTAATATACCGTGATACCTTTACATTGAAATGTCTTTTTTTTTTTCTGCCCAAAAGCAATCTAAACACACTTTATGGCCCATCATTTCCTTCTCAATCCTTTCACATTCACATTATTTTTTACTGCTCTCTCCCTTGAAACTGCTCAAAGTTTACCAATGGGCTAAAAAAGATGATGATGATGATGATGAAGGTGGCGGTGCTGCCGGTGGTGATGGTCTTATAATTATAGCTAGCATTCAGCATGATTCTGATAATGATTATTCTCAATTCTAACCATCTTGTTCAGCCTTCCTGTGTCATTTGTCACTGTGTCTTCTTGATCCCAGAAACCATCTCTGTTACTTTTTTTTTTTTTTTTAATTCCCTTCCCTAGGCCTTCTTTGAGAATTTCTTTGTCTCTTTTTTTCAGCAACTATTTTCAGACACTCTATTCTTCATTCTATAGAGCGACATATCTCAAAAGCGTATCTCAAACTTTAATATGCATATGAATAATCTGGGGACCTTATTAAAAATGTATATTCTGATTCAGTAGGTCTAGAGTGGGGTCGAAATACTGCTTATTTTTGCTTCTTTGATGTTCATGATGGAAAATTTTAAGTTACATACGTGGTTCACATTATATTTCTACTGGTCAGCACTGCTATAGTTGGAAGCAGACATTTCAAAAACTAACAAAGCTTAGGATTCAGGGTCTCTCATTTAATTGGCATCTTCCAAGGCTTGTGATGAGCTCTAGCAAGTTTGCATTTGCAATTTTGTATACTTTTCCATAAATAGGACATTCCAAATTGGAATAGGCTTCAAACTTCACAAAACCTGAATCTGCCTTGTTGACTACAAGTGAGATAATTCACTGCTACAGCTTCATCTCTTGATACTGTGCACGGAGATAGCTATACTCATACTCCTAAATTTCCCCTGCCCTTTAGTCTCATATTTCCAATGGACTGAGTCAAGCCTTTTAGTCATCACATCATCATAACCCTTGATTTTGCCTGAAAACAATTATGTTCATTTGTTATAGATTATTAATCTCCTTGGGTATTAGCTCATGCTGTTCTCCCAGCCAGATGGCTCAGCTCCTCTGGGCCTACAAAAATCCTACCTGTCCTCTGAAGGCTATCTCAAGACTCTTCTCTAAAATGCATCTGACTGTTCCAGATCACAATGATTACCCTCTGTAGCACATTTGAGCGAACTGTCATCCCTGTGTGTTATTTGTTTTAGGGAACATTGTCATTTTAGGGTATATTTATGCTTGTTCTCTACTGGACCCCTAACCCAATCTTCAAGCCTATTTTCTAGAATCCCTAAGAATACTTGAATTATATAAAAAGCATGCTTATAAAACAAACACCTTTGCCTCATGTTTTACTGAGAACTTTGATTAGAAGAAAACATAAAACAGCCAAATCAAATGCAAAGTGGGCAAATTGCATAATAAATACAGAGAATTCGCTGGTGATCTCATTTTGAAAAACCCATTGCCCACTGTTGTTTTTGCATTTGTCCAAGTGTGTCATTTTTGTCTAGTAATATGGGAGTAGAAGAGATGGAAAATACATGTTTTTCAAAAGTAGAAAGGATTTGGGCAAAAAAAACTTAAGTATTTTATATCTAGACAGGTTGAAAAATAAATGTGTCCTGGGAAAGAGAAAACTGGGAGTTTTTCTGCTAATATTTCAAGGAGACACTATTTTCTGAAAACCGTAGAAGAAAAAAAATAAAAGTGAAAACCGCCAGAAGTTAAAAGAACCGCTCTCTATGGAAATCAATGGCAAAAAGCTGTAGCCAGTTTTGGGGTCAATTTAACTTTATTCTGCTCTATATCCTTTAGTGAGAATTCATCTCTTGCTACGAGTTATGCTTATAGATGAAGAATGAGTTTTAGATGAATTTTTTTTTTTTCCCTCACAGCATCAGTTTTCTATAATTGTTAGCCTTGACGTAGGCCAGGTTTGAATCTAAGGCAAGGTCCTGTGGGATTCATGACATGTTTGTTGGGCTACTTTTCATGTCACCTGCCCCCTAGGATCTGGAAGGGACATTTGTCATTTTGTGCCTGCCCTATGTCTATTCTCCCACCCTCAGAGCACTGTGACTGCCCTGCCCTATTATGGTAATCCTGGAGAGAAAGGAGTATTTTAATCTAGGTGACTGCCTTCTTTCTGCATTGGGTGGCAGAGAGGCCAGATCCTCTTTCTCCCTTTGTCAATAGATATGGCGAGTGGGTGCATGA